>NC_000004.12:79072896-79224411 GCF_000001405.40 Homo sapiens
CTCCATTCACCTGATGATTGGCATTTGGATTGTTTCCACTTTTTAGCTATTGCAAATAAATTGCTACAAACATTTGTTTTCAAGTCTTTATATAGACACATGCTTTCATTTCTCTTTCATAAATACATAGGAGCAAAATGACTAGGTCATGTGCTAGGAGTATGTTTAGCTTTTTAAGAAACTGCCAATACAGTTTTTCAGGGTGGCTGCTAGATGACATGATCTTATATGTAGAAAATCCCATAGTCTCATCCCAAAAGCTTCCTAAGCTGATAAACAATTTCAGCAAAGTCTCAGAATACAAAAAATCAGTATGCAAAAATCACTAGCATTCCTATACATCAACAACAGTCAAGCTGAGAGCCAAATTAGGAACAAACTCCCATTCACAATTGCCACCAAAAGAATAAAATACCCAGGAATACAGCTAACTAGGAAGGTGAAAGATCTCTACAAGGAAAATTACAAACCACTGCTCAGAGAAATCAGACATAACAAAAACAAATTGGAAAACATTCCATGATCATGGATAGGAAGAATCAATATCGTTAAAATGATCATACCACCCAAAGCAATTTATAGATTCAATGCTATTCCTATTAAAGTACCATACATTTTTCACAGAACTAGAGAAGACTATTTTAAACTTCATATAGAACCAAAAAAGAGCTTGAATAGCCAAGGCAATCCTAAACAAAAAGAGTGGAAGCTGGAGGCATCATGCTACCCAGCTTCAAACTATACTTCAGAACTATGGTAACCGAAACAGCATGGCACTGGTACAAGAACAAACACATAGACCAATGAAACAGAATAGAGAACCCAGAAATAGGACTTCAAACCTACAACAATCTGATCTTTGACAAAACCTGACAAAAACAAGCAATGGAGAAAGGATTTCCTATTTAATAAATAGTGCTGGGAGAACTGGCTATCAATATGCAGAGAATTGAAGCTGCACCCCTTCCTTACACCACATAGAAAAATCAACTCAAGATGATTTCAGGGCTAAAATGTAAAACCCAAAACTACAAAAACCCTAGAAGAAACTCTAGGTAATACCATTCAGGACACAGACATGGGCAAAGATTTCATAACGATAATGCCAAAAGGAATTGCAACAAAAGCAAAAATTTACAAATGGGATCTAATTAAACTAAGGAACTTCTGCAAGGCAAAAGAAACTATCAACAGAATAAACAGCCTACAGAATGGGAGAAAATTCTTGCAATCTATGCATCTGATAAAAGTCTAATATCCAGCATCTATAGGGAACTTAAATAAATTTACAAGGAAAAAAAACAACCCCATTAAAGAGTGGGCAAAGGACATGAACAGACACTTCTCCAAAGACGACATACATATGGCCAACAAACATATAAAAGGAAGCTCAACATCACTAATCATAGAAAAAGGCAAGTAAAAACCACAGTGAGATACCATCTCATACCAGTCAGAATGGCAATTACTAAAAAGTCAAAAAAGAATAGATGCTGGTGAGGTTGTGCAGAAAAAGGAATGCATTTACACTGTTGGTGATACATTCATGTGTATGTTCATTGGACCGCTTTTCACAGTAGCAAAGACATGGATTCAACCTAAATGCCCAGCAATGATAGACTGGATAAAGCAAATGTGGTACATATACACCATGGAATACTATGCAGCCATAAAAAAATGAGATCATGTTCTTGTGGGAACATGGATGGAGCTGGAGGCTATTATCCTTGGCAAACTAATGCAGGAACAGAAAACCAAATACCACCTGTTCTCATTTATAAGTGGGAGCTAAATGATGAGAACAGTTGGACACATAGAAGGGAACAACACACATTGGGGCCTTTTGGATGGTGGAGGTTGGAAGGAGGGAGAGCATCAGGAAAAATAAGTAATGGGTACTAGGCTCAATAAGTGGGTGATGAGATAGTCTATACAACAAACTTCCTTGACACAAGTTTACCTATGTAATAAATTTGTGCATGTCCCCAAAAGTTAAAAATAGATAAATATAAATAAAAAATGAAAAGAAAAACAACAACAAAGTGCTGCAGAATATGAGATTTCCCCATCAACACCAGCAGAATATAAGAATTCCTGTTGCTCTGCATCTTCAACAACACTTGGAAAGGTCAAGCTCTTTAATTTTAGTATTCTAATAGTATAGAGGAGTGTCACATTGTAGTTTTCCTTTGTTTGTCCGTAACTTAACAATTAATAATGTTGAGCATCTTTTCAAGTGTTTATTTGCAATTTGTATTTTCTTAGGTGAACTGTTTTTCAAATCTTTTGCCCATTAAATAATTGGATTGTTTCTTAGCTTATTATTGACTTTTGTGAGTTCTCTACATATTTGGGAAATAATTAGGTGACTTGCAAATACATTCTTCTAGTTTGTGGCCTTTAATTGTCTTAATAATGTCATAGCCACAGAAAAAACTTTTAGTTTTTATACAATCTGTTTTATCAATTGTTGTTTATGCATTGTGCCTTTGGTGTCATAGCTAAGAAATCTTTGGGTAACCGGAGCATACAAATATTTTCTCTTATTTTCATCTAGAAGGTCTGCAGTTTCAATTTTTTTTTTGCAACTTTATTTTAGGTTCAGGGGCAACTGTGCAGCTTTGTTACATGGGTAAATTATGTATCACAGGGTTTGGTGTACAGATAATTTTGTCACCCAGGTAATATGTGTAGTACCTGGTAAGTAAGTTTTTGATTCTCACCCCACTTTCACCCTTCATCCTCAAGTAGGCCCCAGTGTCTGTTCTCTTCTTTGTGCCCTTGTGTATTCAATGTTTAGCATCCACTTATAAGTGATAATATGAGATATTTGGTTTTCTGTTCCTGCATTAATTCACTTAGGATATTGGCCTCTAGTTCCATCCATGTTGCTGCAAAGGACATGATCTTGTTCATTTTTATGGCTGCATAGTATTCCATGGTGTGTATGTATCCCATTTTCTTTATCCAGTCCCCTGTTGATGGGCATTTAGGTTGATTCTTGTCTTTGCTCTTGTGAATAGTGCTGCAGTGAAAATATTATGTGTGTGTCTTTATGGTAGAACAATTTATATTCCTTTGGGTATATATCCAGTACTGGGATTGCTAGGTGGAGTGGTAATTCTGTTTTAAGTTCTTTGAGATATCTCCAAATTGCTTTTCACAGTGACTGAACTAGTTTACATTTCCAACAGCAGTATATGAATGTTTTTTTTCTCTGCATCCTCTCTAGCATGTAATTTTTTGACTTTTTAGTAACAGCCATCCTGACTAGTGTGAGAGGACATCTCATTGTGATTTTGATTTGCATTTCTCTAATAATCAGTGCTGTTGAGATTTTTTGTCATATGATTGTTGGCCGCATGTAGGTCTTCTTTTGAAAAGTGTCCGTTCATGTCCTTTGCCCACTTTTTTATGGGGTTGTGTGTTTTTTTCTTGTAAGTATGTTTAAGTTCCTTATAGATGCCGGATATTAGAACTTTGGTGGTTGTTTGTTTACCTGTTGATAGTTTCTTTTGCTTTGCAGAAGCCCTTTAGTTTAATTAGATCCAATTTGTCAATTTTTGCTTTTGTTGCAATTGCTTTTGGTAACTTTGTCATGAAATCTTTGCAGTTCCTATATCCAGAATGGTATTGCCTAGGTTTTCTTCCAGGGTTTTTATAGTTTCGGTTTTTACGGTTAAGTAAAATCCATCTTGAGTTGATTTTTGTATGTGGTGTAAGGAAAGGGTTCAATTTCAGTCTTCTGCAGGTGGCTAGCCAGTTATCTCAGCACCATTTATTGAAGAGAGAGTCTTTTCCCAATCAATTATTTCCGTCAACCGTACCAAAGATCAGATGGTTGTAGGTATTTGGCTTTATGGGTTTGTAAACCCATTCCATTGGTCTATGTGTCTATTTTTGTAGCAGTATCATGTTGTTTTGGTTACTATAGCACTCCAGTATAGTTCAAAGTCAGGCAGTATAATGCCCTTGGCTTTGTTCTCTTTGTTTAGTATTGCTTTGGCTATTTGGGCTCTTTATTTTTTGTTTCCATGTGTATTTTAGAATAGTTTTTTTTAAGAATAATTCTGTTAAAAATGTCATTGGTAATTTGATAGGAATAGCATTGAATCTGTCAATTGCTTGGGGCAGTATGCCCATTTTAATGATGTTGATCCTTTCTATCCATGAATATGGAATGTTTTTCCATTTGTTTGTGTCATCTCTGATTTCTTTCAGCTGTGTTTTGTAATTCTCTTTGTAGACATCTTTCACCCCCCTGGTTAGCTATGTTCCTAGATATTTTATTTTTTTGTGGCTTTTGTGAATGGGATTGCATTCTTGATTTGGCTGTCAGCTTGGACATTGTTGGTGTATAGAAATGCCACTGATTTTTGTATCCTGAAACTTTGCTGAAGGTGTTTATCTGATCCAGCAGCTTTTGGGCAGAGATTATGGGGTTTTCTAGATATAAAATCCTATAGTCTGTGAAAAGAGGTAGTTTAACTTCCTTTCTTCTTATTTTAATGGTTTTAATTTTGTTTCCTTGCCTGATTGCTGTAACTAGGGCACTATGTGGAATAGGAATGGTAAGAATAGGTATTCTTGTCTTGTTACAGTTCACAAGGGGAATGCTTGTGAACAGTTTTTGCCTGTTCAGTATGATGTTAGCTAGTGGTATGTCATAGATGGCTCTTATTATTTTAAGGTACATTCTTTCAATGCCATTTTGTTGATGGTTATTATGTTTAGAGATGTTGAATTTCATCAAAAGCTTCTTCTGCATTGAGATAATCATGTAGCTTTTGTTTTTAGTACTGTTTAAGTGATGAATGACATTTCTTGATTTGTATATGTTGAACCAACCTTGCATCCCAGGAATAAAGCCTACTTAATCATAGTAGATTAGCTTTTTGTTGTGCTGCTGGATTTTGTTTGCTAGTATTTTGTTGGGGATTTTTGTGTCTATGTTCATCAGTGATATTGGCTGAAGTTTTCTTTTTTGGTTTTATCTCTGCCAGATTTTGGTATCAGAATGTTTCTGGCCTCAAAGAATGAGTCAGGAAGTCTTCCTCCATTTTTTTTTTTTTTGGAATTATTACAATAGGAGTGGTTTCCAGCTCATCTTTATATGTCTGGTAGTCTTTGGGTGTGAATCTGTCTGGTCAAGGGGTTTTTCTGGCTGGTAGGCTTTTTATTACTCTTCATTTTTGAAACTCGTTATTGGTCTGTTCAGAGTTTTAATTTCTTCCTAGTTCAATGTTGGCAGGTTATGTTTCCAGGAATCCATCCATTTCTTTTAGGTTTTCTAGCTTGTGTGCATTGAGTTGTTCATAACAGTCTCTGAGGTTTTTTGTTTTTTTCTTTCTCTTGGTTCGTGATAATTTTTAGGTTTTGAAGGGAAGGCGAGGGTTAAAGATATATACAGAGAGAGGGTGGCTCAAACAGCAACACAGGTATATTGCAGAAACCTGCAGAAATGGAGGACTGGCTTAAGGCCAGAGCCACCACTGCTTACAGGCTGTACTTGTAGGTATGGGTGGGAGGAGTCTGGGCCATATGGTTTGCTGCCCGTCAGGATGTTGATAAGATGTTCCCATGTTGAGGCAGTTCTGGCCCTTGTTCCAGCAGAATGTGGTGTTCCTTGCACTTTCTCCCAGCAGAATATGATAGGGATGTTTCTTTAGTTGGGCCTTTGCCTAGCAGGATGTCATAGGGATGTTTCTTTAGTTGAGCCTTTGCCTTTAGCTGGGCCTTTGCCTGCCTTGTGGTCAGGTGATTAGGCAGGCTGTTTCTCATGGCCTGAACCCACATGAAATGTTTCACTTTGACCAAGGTCTGCAAAAAAGCAGGGAGCTTACATAACAATGCAGTTTGGACTAACGGTAATGTCCCCTTGTCATTTCTAATCATGTTTATTTGGATTGTTTTTTCTTTCTTAGTCCAGCTAGCAGTCTATCAAGCTTATTTATTCTTTAATATAACCAAGTTTTGGTTTTGTTGATTTCAGCACAGAAGACTTCTGTGAGCAAATCTATGAGATTGTTTTCCTTGCACACCAAGCAAGCAGTCAATTCTGCAGTGAACACCAGCTAGATGTACTCCAATTCAATTCTGACACTATTTACCTGAAGATAACATTAGTCATAAGCCCTCAGCCCCTGGAACTTCTGATCAACCAGTTTCAAGTTGTCATTTCCACTTTGGGTTAAATTACTTTGCTAGGGAAGCTCACAGAGCTCAAGGAAACTTACGTTTACTGGTTCATTATAAAAAAATATTCCAAATGATACAGATGAAGAGATGCATAGGGTGAGGCATGTGGGAAGGGGCATAAAGTTTCCATGCCCTTTCTAGGTGCACCATCTTCCAGGAACCTCTGTGTGTTCAGCATTCCAGACACTCCCAACCCTGTCTTCTAGGGCCTTTTTATGGAGACTTCTTTAGATAGGCTTGATTGACAACCGTGTAGAAATGTGATTAGACAAAAAGGGTATCATCTTATGCTAATAGACTGAGTGGGGAAACCCAGCAAGGTTTGTATGTTCAGATTTTTCTTGGCCTCTCTGTGCAGCATTCCTTCCTCCAGGGTATGGGGCAGAATTTGTTCTGAAATGTGAAACTTATGACCTACAATCAGAAAGACAGGGGAAGATTAGTGTCTTGCCTTGGGTTGGTGAAAGGAGGGCAGGGGAAGGTCAGAAAGAGAGATTTTGTTTTCTGAGGTTTGCTTCTTAGGCCTAAAGTGCACCGTTATAATAAAGACTGTAACAAGGGCTATAGAGGTTGTGAGCCAGGGATTGTGGACAAAACCATATATATAAAATATCACACATTGCTTTAGTTGCATACCACAAATTTTGATGTCTGTGTTTACATTTCTATTAAAGCCAAATATTTTTTATTGTTACTATTTTTAAAAAGTTTTAATTGATCATTATTTGAGCATTTTAAAAAACTTTTATTCTAGGTTCGGGGGTCCATGTGCAGGTTTGTTATATATGTAAACTTGTGTCACAGGGGTTTGGTGTACAGATTATTTCATCACTCAAGTACTAGGCCTACTACCCAATAGTTATTTTTTTTCTGATCCTCTCCCTTTTCCCATGCTCCACCTTTGGGTAGGTCCCCGTGTCAGTTGTTCCCCTCTTTGTGTCCATGTGTACTCATCATTTAGCTCCCACTTTTAAGTGAGAACATGCAGTATTTGGTTTTCTGTTTCTGTGTTAGTTTGCTAAGGATAATGGCCATTAGCTCAATTCATGTTCCTGCAAATGACATGATCTCATTATTTTTTATGAATGCCAAGTATTTTATAATTTCCCTTTTAACTTCTCATTTGATCCACAGATTTTTCAGAAGTGTTATTTAATTTCCAAATATTATGGCATTTTCAGATTGTTATCATTAATTTCTAATTCAATTACATTATAGTCAGAGTACATTGTATAATTTTAATAATTTTAAGTTTAGGCTTGCTTTGTTGGGTTGAGTACTCTACAATGTCAGTTATGTCAAGATGGTTGATTGTGTTGTTTAAGGCTTATATACTCTTATTATTTTGTGTCTACTTAATCTATTAATTTATTAAAATAAAGTGTTGAATCTGCAACTATAATTCTGGATTTGTCTCCTTATGGTGTTTTTCAGCTTTGCTTTATGTGTTTTGAATCCCTGTTTAGAGCATATATAAGTAGGATTACTCTGCCTTAATTGTCACATTTGACATTTTGAAATATTTATTTTAAATTCTGTAATATCCCTTTTTCTGAAGTGTATTTTTCCTGATATTAATATAGCTACTTCAGTTTCCTTTTGATTAGTATATGAATTTTTTCTAATTTTTAAAATCTTTTTATTTTTAATCTGAATCTTTATATTTTAAGTGAATTTCTTGTGAACAATATATGGTTTAGTCATGTTTTTTATTCAGTTAAAAAATGTTTGCTTTTTATTGGAAACTTTAGATAATTTACATGTAATGTAATTATTAGTATGGTTCAGGCTAGGTTTACCATTTTCTTATTTGTTTTATTTTTGACCTGTATTTTCTCTTCTTCTCTTTACTCTTTTTCTGCTTCTATTTGAGTTAGTCTGAATATTTTACAATTTTTGTCTTTAGCAATACTTCTGGATTTTTAACAAAATATCTGTCTTATTTCATTTCACTAAATGAAATCTACATTATTATAGTCTACTTTATTATCTATTATAATCTACATTCATATAAATTACATACTTCCATTTCCTCCTTCCAATCTTTTGTTCTATTGTTAGCACAAACATTTTCTTACATGTTATAAACCTCAAAATACTATCACTATCTTTTTTAAAAAAACTTTAAAATGACAAAAATATCTGTTATATTTACCACATATTTACCATTTTGGCACTCTTAAATTTCTCTGTGTGTATTGAAATTTCCAGGTGGGTTTATTTTCCTTCAGCTAGAATAATTACTTTTAACATTTCTTTAATGGAAGTCTGATGCCAAAAAATTGAAGATTTGACTTTTCTTAAAAAAATGCTTCCTTTGCCTTCATTTTTGAAGATTTTTTTTCCAGATGTAAAATTTTAGTTTTATCATTTTTTTCTTTCATTACTTTAAAGAGGTCATTGCATTGTCTTTTCAAGTGCATGACTGTTGGTGTTTGAGGTTATTCTTATCTTTGTTTCCCTGTTGTGTGTAACATGCTTTTTTTCCCCCACTGGCTGGTTTTTCAGTTTTCTCTGTATTAGTAGTTTGAGCAATCAGATTATGATGCTCCTTAGTATAGTTTTATTTGTGATTGTACTGCTTTTATTTAAAATCTTAAAATTGAAGGTATATAATTTTCATCAAATTTTGAAAAATTTTGACAATTATGTTTTTAAATATTTTGTTTCCTCTATTCTGATAGTTGCTACACTAGATAGAAAGTGATAGACACAAAGTAATATATATAATACGCTGTGATATACTGCTTGTTTTCAGAAATAAAAATAGTAAAAAAGCAATAATTTTGATATTGCAGTATGATTCTTGCAAATTGCTTTACCTATATTTAATATAATACTTAAAGAAATTGTAAAAATAAGTCCATTTACTCTATTAGTTCATGATCTAATTGAGGGTGATTGACACAAAAGAAATAGCAATAATATGTTGTGATAAATTCTTTAATGGAGGTTTTCATTGTGCACTGTGTAGCAAAAACAAAACTAAATGTCATTTATTGGGGTTGCTGGTCAGAGAAGGGTGGTGACATTTCAGCTGGGTATTAAAGTATGAAAATAAGTGTACTAGTTAGAGAAATGGGGAAGAGAGATATGTTATATGGAGAGAAGAACATTTTTCTAATGCTCAGAGGTTTAAACAAGCCTTATTTTTTCGAGGAAATGATGAGCCATTTACTGTTGCAGAAGCTGAAAAGCAAGAGTTTGTGAAGAAAGAAGTGTTAAATAAGCAGGTTTGCTGCAGACTGTGAAGGTCCTTGAGTGCTACATTAACAAATTTGGATTTTGAAATAAAAGTAGTATATTGTGGTTCCTTTATATGGTGATTTATTTTATATGATATTAGGAGAATGGTGACTCAAGCAAAGTAGCAAGTAATAGTGGCATTTTAGCAACTTTGATACTGAAGTAGTTACAGGGGCACTCTCTTGTTTCCAATTTTTCAAATCTTTCTTAATTTTATACAAACAAATAAGTATGCAGTAGGCTTTCATTTACATGCTTTTATGGTCACCTAAGTGAGGAACTGTGACAGATAAGCTTAGAGAACTGCCTTAGTCTTACTCACATGGGACAGAATTCTGTCTTGGCCTTTTGAGTTTGAGATGTTTGGAATGTTGGTGACGTTTTTTAGTTCAATGATTTAATTTACTGAGCTAGGAAGGAAATATCTGAAACTGGCATGAATTCTTGCCAAAAGATTACCTAGGGAAATATTAGATTTCCTGACTCCAGTCTCTATCCCTTTTAAACAGATAATTTAGAGGAGAATAAAAAATATTGAAAATTAATGGCAATTTTGAAATAGAATATTTGGTCAAAATCAAATTCATTTCATTAAATGCTTGAGAAGAATGCAATGAGTAAATGAGGTATGAATAACTGTAAGATGGGACAATTACCACCTCAGAAACAATATATTTGTAAAGTTAATTCCTCTCGAACATGAACAATCCCCTTACACTTGACCCCTTTCTATTGCCTCTTCCATGCTTGAACTCTCCTTGAACTTTGAAGATCCATCTTGAGAGTATGATACGGCCATCTCTTTTGCATCTGGTTATTTTAGCTCCAATTTGCAGCCTTAAATGGCAATTATGATGATATATTGCTCAAGTCACCCGACATGGATTAGTATCGGGATCAGCACATTTACGCACAGGAGTAGTGAATGGAGACTGCAGCTATGATTTTAAATGACTTGATTAATTCTGAAACAACATTTCAGAGTCCATTAGGTCCAGCAGGTGTTGGGGTGCAGACTATGCTTTTTCCGTAAGCAGCATATTTGATTAAAGTGCCAAAGTATTTTGGATTCATACATTATCTTTCCCAGAATAGTTTCCTTTCACTCTGTTAAATTTCCTAAACAGCCACCACTCCTCCTGAAAGAGATCTTCTTTCTGTTTTGTCTCTACTCAAGTTCTCTTGTGTCAGTTACTGACTGCCAGCTCTGTTTGAGCAACCTGAACAATGTGTTCTGTTCTTGTTCAAGAAGGCATTTACATGACAGAACTCCAAGTACCCCACCGCTAAAAGCTCCTGCTGACTCAGGTCAAAATAAGGCCAATTGTGCTGTTTATCCTAAGGGCCATTTTATCAGCAACTTGTGTCAAGGTTAGAAATGTGTCTGGTTAATGCCTTGGCTCAATGCTTTCTTTAACTACTAAATATACATGTATATGACATTGGCATCTCCCGTCCTCCCTCCATCCCATCTGGGTGTCCCTGCTCTAATAAAATATGTAGGGCTGGGTTTTTTATTTAAGTTCTTTAGGGTTTTAAATTCCTAGATTCTTTGTTGATTTCCATGTATTCTAAAGTGATTTCTTTTAAAAATTCTTACAATGAGCCATGCATGCTTCATTACTCTCAATTCTTTTCTTTACAACATAAAGAACATAACAATGGGTCTATAGTACAACATTTATAGAGAGATCGTAAAATGTGGTATACCATGAATTGTTCTGTCATCTGTTCCCCTGGTATAATGTACCTGTCTCTATTATAGTACAAATCAACATGTATTCTATCTATTTGTGTGTTACCACATTTGTCTTCCTTAGGAGTCACATCTTATTCTTCTATCTTTATGCCTATCATATATTTATCCGTCTATCCGTTCATCCATCCATCCACCATTCCATCCACTCACCCACTTATCTATTCATCTATTTAACATATTTAGAGCCTCCTGTTATTATTATTACTATTATTATTGTTATTTAGATAATCAATATTTTTAATTACATTGAATTCGTATGTTCTGGGAAGCCAAACAAAGAACAATAAAATATTTTGTCCCCGCTATCCTGATGGTTGCTGGATTAGACAGAAAATGATAGATACAAAGAAATATCTATAATATGCTGCAGATAATACTGCCTTTAGTCCATGCAAGTAATGCTGCCATTATAGATATATAACATAATGAGAACATAAAAAATGTATAAAAATTTTGCAGAAATAGGAGGCAGGGCTAGGCATGGTGGCTCACGCCTGTAATCCCAGCACTTCGGGAGGCTGAGGCAGGTGGATCACCTGAGCTCAGGAGTTAGAGACCAGTCTGGGAAACATGGCAAAACCCTTTCTCTGGATATGGTGGCATGTCCCTATAGAACTGTAGTTCCAGCTTCTCTAGAGGCTGGGGTGGAAGGATGACTGGAGCCCAGGAGGCAGAGGTTGCATGCAGTGATCCAAGATCATGCCACTGCACTGCAGCCTGGGTGGGAGGGAAGGAAGGAAGGAAGAGAGAGAGAGAGAGAGAGAAGAAAGAAAAGAAAGAGAAAGAAAGAAAAAGAAAGAAAGAAAGAGAAAGAAAAAGAAAGAAAAGGGAAGGGAAGGGAGAAAGGGAAAGAGAGAAAGAAAGGAAAAGAAATAGGAAGCTGCACACTTGGGCACTAGAATCAGCTTTATCACTACTGGTTGAGTAACTTGAGGAAGTCACATAATCTCTCTTTGTGAGCTTTTTCATCATTAAAACATAGATGAAACTACTTATTCCACCCAGTTGATGGGGATGTTGAAAGGCTGAATAAAAGAATATAAATGAAAATATTTTGAAAACCATACAACGATATATGTTGAGATGATGGTGAAGATGATAATTGAAAGTATATGGTTATGTTTCAGATGTGGTGTGCCTGGGAATAATGTCACCAATAGCATAAGAATTAATGTCTACTATGATGCTGAAATAAATAAACTGGTAAAACTACTCTGCTGTCTAAATCCCCAAGTTACAAATTTACAGGTACATTTGATATACTGACTGATACAAATTTCCTTTGCAAGAAATAGTACCAAGTTTAGCAGTAACAGCAGTAACAGTTCAAATTTTTCTGTTTTTTTTTTTTCTTTGACAGAGTCTTGTTCTGTCACCCAGACTGGAGTGCAATGGTGCAATCTCAGCTCACTGCAACCTCTGCCTTCCGGGTTCAAGCTATTCTCCTGCCTCAGCCTCCCGAGTAGTTGGGATTATAGGCACCCACCACAATGCCTGGCTAATTTTTGTATTTTTAGTAGAGATGGGGCTTCACCATGTTGGTCCAGCTGGTCTCGAACTCCTGACCTCAGGTGATCAGCTCACCTCAGCCTCCCAAAGTGCTGGGATTACAGTTGTGAGCCACCATTCCTGGCCCAAATTTTTCTGCTTTAATAAATGGAGTATATTATAAAGATAGAATACAGATTATTTTAATGTTGAATGAACTTAAGTTACCTAATAATTTTCTATACTGGTTTAAAAATTGATATAATTTTATAGAACTGCTCATATTACAGTTCTTTAATATATGATCTTAGAAATGGAAAGTTTCTCTATTCCTTTCATCTCTTTCTCCTTGCAAATTTTGAAACAACTGAGAGATAGGATATAGGGATCAGACAAATAGAAATCCTTATTACTCACAACAGCTTGAATTAGTGAATATCGCTTTAAATTTATGTCCAGAGAGGGCTTGCTAATATATCACTTAATATGAACCTTTCCTATCTCCCAGAGCTGCCGGCTTCCCCTTGAAGGAATAGGAGTAGACCTGCTGAACTATCACATGAGAGAAGAGGCCCAAAAGCTTGCACACTACAGTCAAGCTGGCCCTTAAAGAGATGGACCTAGAAGATGCTGAGCCAGATGTACTCAATTACTTCTCCAAAATTCATCAATTAGGTAAGACACTCTTCCCATGAAAGGAGGTAGCTGGGGGAGAGGCTGAAGTAATCCTTCCATGCTTTGTTTCCTAGGGAATAGAGTGGACATTTCCTGCTCAAGGTGGAAAATTGTGTAGTAATAAATGTCCTCAATACATAATTATCATCTATTACCCAGTGGGCAAATTCCACCACTGCAGAGATCCAGACTGCAATACTAGAGGTAGCCAATATCTACACAACTCTCTGAGGAAGAGAAAAGGGCCTTTTTCTTCTATGTTTCTCCTGTAACCCCTATGGTACTCATATAGCAGACCCGAAAGAGTGCCAATATAAGAAAATCATGAAGTTACTCAAAAATCAGTCTTACTCTTTTGGTCAGGCTTTTTTCTTCTTTCTTCTTACATTCTGAAAAACCAAGATTATTGATTTCAAATGGCAGATGATCAGGTACTTTCAATGTGTTAACAGATGTCAGTAGTAAATTGTTCAATCACTGTTGAAATGGATGAAGAATAACAACATTTTTTAGTACATGATATTTTGTAAATGTCATCATTTTGGCCTTGTGTTACTTTTCTAGGTAACACTTGGGTAGAAAAAACAGCTAATTGAATTTTATAAATCTGGTTGAACATCTATTGTGTTCAAGCCATTATGCCAAGTGCTGTGAAAAATGCAAAAAGACTAAGACATACATAGTTCCTACGTATATATATGAACAATTTCATCCATAGGCATTTATATTCTGGTAGAAATATACTGAAGAAAATTCCAATACGGGGAAAGCAAAGATAGAATACAAAGTCCAAAGTAAAACAGAACAAACCCTGAACTGCCTAGATTAAAAATAATGGAAAGGAGATGGAAAAAAAAAAAAAAAGAAAGGAGACGGTAGTTCTAAAGACATGTATTCCAGCTGGTGGGAGGTATATCTGAACAGATTGAACCACAGAATCCACCAAAGTATTATACAGCCGAACAATAGCACAAAGCCCTAAGAGCCAGAGAGGGAGCTTTGAATAGCTCAGCCAATCTTTCACTTTGAATGGATAGCATTGAGCAGAAGCTTCTTGGGCCTTGGCGCAGAGTGTGGGAGGAAAGAGGACATATTATTAATATCTTATCCCTGAGCTTTAAAATGGGAACAATGGGCTGCTTATTCAAACTGAATTGAGATGACTGACCTGTTCCAAATAGGCAAGAAACTCTTAATTTTAAACCTAACCATCTTAATACCACAGAGTTTCCACAAATGGAATTACTTTGCAGAATAGCACACTGTCATTTCTTAATTTTTAAAGAAGTTTCTTTAAACAAAACTAAAGCTCATGTCAATGCACAGTTTAGAAGAGAGACTTATGTCCTAGTGAAATTGCCAAACAGGACTCAAGCCTCCCTTGAAGATGACAATAGAGAAATAAATATATGCTAATTAAGTTTCTTATTTGTGCACTTTGCAAAATGTCAGCTCCCATCTCATCGTAGAATTATAGAATTCTTAAAGTTAGAAATGTTTTTTCAAATAATCCAAGAATAATCTCCCACTTATTTCAGTAATGTCTTCTCCTAAAGCATCCCTCATAGTCATAGGAAGCACATTTACCTTCTGAGGAAGCCACAGTTTGGCACTTTTTATGATTAAAAAGTTCTTTTTTTTATGGTGAGACAAAATCTACTACCTTGCAACTTCTATCACTAATCCTGTTTCTGACCTTTAGACAAAGACAGACCAAATCTACATTTATTCTTTGCATGACATTTTCCAGGAGGGTATCTTAGAAATAATGTTTCTGTCTGTTTTATTTAATTACCAGTGATGTCCCATCCTAGTGCCACACACTCTTTTGAATCTTTTCCACATCTCCTTTCCCATACAACATTGTTGCAGGGTGAGTGCGGGGCATAAACAAGTGTTGGGCATTGCATGAACAGATGGATGCGTAGAGTTTTAAGGTTTGAGAGAGGTTCAGAGGAAAAGCTATCTGTTGTAAATAGGGATGCTTTGCAGACCACTACTTTATGCAGTTTGCCCACTAAACAATTTCTGAATGGGCAAGAAAAACTGGGAGCCCATTTTCTTAGCATTTAGTGGTGAATTTTATGTGGTTATATATGTGTATCTTGGACCTTATCTTTATAGATGAAAGCAGGAAAAACATATTTCTCTGTAGAAAATTGCTTTATTCCGGGTTAATTTATCTAAATTTTGTGTGATTATTCATTGTGCAGGGTAATTTCTCATTTGTCCATTGTTCTTATTTTTCTTGAATTGGTATTGCCTAAGGCACTACAAATTGTTGAGGTGCAAATACCAATTATTACTCAGAAATGACCAGCTAGTTATCTTCAAGAAACGCAAGCTTTGACTTGAATTATTTTATCATTTGAAACTCTATTTCCCTATGAGTTTTCAGTGGTAGCAGGGTTATTCAGGCAAAAAAATTAAGGATTTCCTTAACGTCTAATTTTAAGGAAGGGGATTATAAAAGAAAGTGAATGGTTGTTCTAATTAGCTAGGAAAACTTATACATTGTAGGTTAATATAGGAGTGATGCCAGGGATATGGAGTGGAGTGCTGAGTCTGTGTGAGGACCCTAAGGAGGTGGTGCATGGGGCACTGTGTTTTAAGAGGACTATCCTTCATTAGATAATCTGCAACTCACATTTTCCTCAAACACCAGCAACTTGTTAACATGTTTTGCCTGAGAAAATGAGTAACCAAATCTTCACACCCTTTTAAGACTGGAGAGTAGGCAGACTTCATGCCTTGATGCACCACAGAGGGACCCTCTTTTCAAGTTTGCACAGAACTCTTCTGGTGCCTCCCCCACCATTCTTTCCAACCTCCAGCCCTTTGAGACACCAGCCTGACACTAGTTGTGTCTATAATGAATGAGGAGGAGTGGCAACATCCCATTCCCTGTCACAGACCTGAAAAATTCCATTGAAATATTTTATCTGAAGCAGAATCTGACCTCAGGCATACAATATCCTTTGTTCACATTTCTCACTCTGCTCACCACTGAAGTGGTGAATTTTAACACAAGAAGCTCAAGAAAGATGTGCAAAATAGGGTATAGGGATATACAAATCCTTATTTTATTAACACTGTAAATTCTACTTCCTCAGAATTTCCAATTTTTCCCTGCCTAGCAGCATAAAGACAGTTAAAGGGACTTTTGGTGACATTCCCCTTGTTTAATGAAGCTTGGATTTATGGGCAAGTGCCTTGAACTGCTGTTATTATCTGCATGAGTGAATAAGGGCTGAGGGTCCAGATCTGTGCAAAGAGTTCTACTGCAAATAGGCACATTGATCATTCATAATCAGACCTACCAGGTCAGCAGTGCTGCAGTGCCAGCAGGCTCTGAAAAAGCTGACCAAGGGAGCAGTAGTGCTCACAGGTTAATGTAATATTCAGGCAGAATAAGATCTTTCTTATATACTAATCTCTTTGCTTTTTTTCTGGCATAGTGGGAGTGAGAGCTAAAACACACTTGAACTATATCTCATATAACCAATCGCAGAGCCATCCTCTGTTCATCTGAGGGTTCTACCTGTTTCCAGAGCCTTACTTCTTTTAGAAGTGCATTTCTTCTGTGTAAAAGTTTGTGCTTTAGATCTGCCATTGCCATACTATTTAGGGTATTATGAAACTGCTTTGTTGTAAATATATTATCTTCTGATTCCCGATGTTATCTCACATGAGAGGTCACATTTAGAAGAGAGCAATTACAAGACATCACTATTTGAAGCTTCAGGGTGAATGTTGTACCAAATGTTTGTTTCTTCATCATTCCCTGGGCTAATAAGTATTAAAATATATATTTGAATACATCAACATCTGATTTAAAAATTTAGCTTTGTGTAAATTACTGTATTTATAAAAACCTGATGAAAATATTACTATCATGATCCATTAGAGTGGTATTCATTTCACATCACCATCTTTGTGTGTATTGTACTGTGGATGCAATCATTTGGGGACAATTGAAAAGGTGAGTGCCTTCTTCTAGGTGTACAAATTTTGCAGAGCTAGAAATAAATATGTTTTAGGTTTTCTGCTTCCCAATTCTTCTTAAAAGAGTCACAAACGTAAGGAGGTATTAATCACTGAAGGGCACAGTGATGCTTCTAGGGGTGTAAAATTTTAGCAGAGTCTCAAATCTAAGAGGAGGATTTTGAGATTAATATCATATGCTGAGAGCACCAGAAACCTAATTTGATATCCTATGTTCATACAGCAAAATGGTGTTGCTAGCCCATTGTGAATTGGATGTGCTTTGTGAATTATTTTCCTATTGGTGATGAATTTGCAGTGATATATCTGCATGCAATCATTCAATTGACCTTGTTACCAATGACAAGCATATGTCAGATGGTTGGCAAGGGTGGGAGTTTACTGTCATTTGAATGATGATTCCATGAGCTTGTTAGTATGATCGCCTAATCAGCTATGCTAAGTGAGCACAGGGTACATCAAAGGGTTAAGAAGAAAAATGTGACCAGTTCATTAATCACTTCTTCAGAGACCTGATTCAGGAAATCGTTGGAATTCAACTGAGGGCATGATTCTCCCACCTTGTGTTGAGAAATGAGACAGAATTCTTACTCTAAAACAACCAAATATATACATTTACATATGGAAGTAGTTTTAGATTTTTTGCCATGTTGTCAAATAAACTTTACAATCATCCTAAAATCATCAAATCCCAGCAGGCTTTGATTATTGATTTGTAATAGCTAAATACTTAGTCAATATTTAAGGTAATGGTGATTTGATTTAAACTATTATTTGGGAAAATTTGAATCCTAGAGCTTTATAAATTAAAGGGACTTGATTTAATAACTCAATAGCTAAGTTATCTTGAGGCTCAGGAAAGTTAAATGACAGTCCTGAGGCCATTCTGCTGGAGATCTGAGATTTAAGCCTCGGGACTCCTAGTTTTTAGCTCAGTGTTCCTCACTTTATGCTCTGTAGTAATTTGCATCCTTCAGTTTTGCACACATGAATATGAGTTTCTGATGTCAAAAAATGTGAAGAATAAAACCATTCTGGTAACCATGGTAATTTTATATGAGACTTCTATTCTTTTTTATTGTCTTTTCATTTGTTTGGCTAGTAAGCTTTTTAAAAACATTTTCCAATACATTCAACACAAACTGCACTTTTAAAAATATTGTATTTGAGAATTATTTTATACTTATAGAAAAGTCACAAGAATAAAACAACTAATCCCCACATACTCTTTACCCAGCTTCTCCAATATTAACGTTTTATCATATTTGCTTCATTCTTTCTCTATTGTATAAATATATTTATTTTTTAACCATTTGAAATCATTGCGGATATTGAAGCTTGATATTTCAGTGTGTATTTCCTTAAAACAAGGGCATTTTCCTGTATAACAACAGTACAACCATCAAAATTCAGGTATTACCATTGATAGATCCACCGTGTAATCCACAGTCACCATTCAAATTTCACCTTTTATTCAAATTATATCTTTAAAAGGTCCAGGATTCGACAGAGAATCATTTGCTGTATTAAATGTCATGTCTCTTAAATATCCTTCAGTCTGCAAAATTTCTCAGTCTTCTCTTGTCTTTCATGATCTTGATAATTTTGAAGAGTATGAGCCAGTGGCTTTGTGGAACATCCCTCAGTTGGGGATGGTCTGAGGTTTCCACATAACTAAATTTAGGTTATGTATATTTGGCAGGAATGCAACAGAAATAATGTTGTATCATTTTCTGTTTGTAACAACAGGTACCCTCTTACAATTTTCCCGTGTTTGGTAGCTACACTTTGATCACTTGATTAAAGTGTTGTCTGCCAGGCTTCTCCATTGTCAAGTATTTCATACTTATTAAAAAATAATCATTAAGTATTTATGGAGATAGTTTTGAAATTGTATAAGTATTTTATTTCTCATTAGACTGTCACCTGTTAGTATTAACATCCATTGATGATGCTTTTCTGATACAATTTTTTCATAGTTGCCAAATAGCTATTTTCTTATACTGTTGTTCCTTCTACATTTATTTGTCGATAATTGACTGTAAGGAAGGCCTTTCCTATCTCTCCCATTTATTTATTTAATAATTATCTATTTATATCAATATGAACTCAAGGATATTGATTTTATTCACTGACTTATATTTTATGATTGTTATTTATTTTGATGCTCTAATTGTCTCATGTTTGACCAGTGGAAATTTTTTCAAAGATACTCCCATGTCTTCTTGACACGTCCTCCTCCTCTTTCTAGCACTTATTTTCTGAGAAGCCGAGATGTTCAAGGATCATCTTAGACTTTTTCTGCCCAAGCCTTGAAACAACCAGTTCTTTAAGGAGCCCTAGTTCTTTTTATTGGGGAGCGGTATTCACAAACCACAATCTGTGCACTGGGTGTGTTCATTGTTATGGTTCATTATTGCATTATTACTTCTAGGATCTCTCAGAAAATCAACCCAGGAAATATATGTATATTTTTATGACATACATACATGCATGCATACAAACATCTATCTGTCATCTATGTATGTCTATCTATCATACGTCTTTTTTAAAAAAAAACTTGAGTTTAAACTGATACTTCCAATTCCAATCTAACATAACATATTTAGCCTTCTCTCTTTTCATATTTATAAATCCCTTCTCCAACAGTGAGAAATCTGGCTCTTCGCCATCATAATATATTTACTAATTTGCTTAATCCCCTGTATGTAACCAGTCTGGAAACATGCAAGCCCTGACACACACTATGGGCCTCAACCACATGGGATTCCTCCTTATCTCTGGCCCCAGATAATATACTACACTGGTAAAGTTCCTAACTAAACATGCCAGGAAAATCCCCAGCTAGGGTGTCATATCCTCCGCATCCCTGATGAGTCTCTGTAAAATGCTTGTGGAAGTTCATGGCCAAGACCTCTCTGTCCCAGTCCCTGGTTCAATGCAGTGTATGAAACTGATGAATTCTTGTCCAAAAGTTTAATTCTGACTTTATCCCTGTCACTATAACCATAAAAGAGAATCCCTGGCCTGGTTCCACCACACCCTGCCTCAATCCCAGCCCTGGCGAACATACCTACCAAAGTTTTGGCTCCGATTAAGGAAGGGGAATAGAAAACTCATTCTATACCCTTTGATTTCCTTTTTTCGATTATTGTTTAACAGGAAATAGAGCTAGATCTTTGCTAGATGGCCTGACTCAACTATTGAATCTAAGTCTTCACATGTTACCACATTTTGGTCTTTGATATTTAATTTAATTATTTTAGCTTGTTATTAATTTTTGTTGCATTTAAAAAATTGTGAATTCTCCCTTTCCTTTTTATATCTGCCATTTTTTTATTGGGGTTTAATTTATACACATTAAAATTTGCCAATTCAAAATGTACAATTTAACGAGTTTTGATAAATGTGTACAGTTACGTAACCTCCACCACAATCATGATATAGGCTAGTTTTACCACCCTTAGTTTTAACACTCTGTGTTTCTTTGCAGTCAGTGACCTCCCCCCACATCCTGCCCCTGGCAACCACCTATATGCTTTATGTCACTGTAGATTTGCTTTTTCTAGAAATTCATATGAATGGAATTATACAGTATGGAGTCTTTGTGCCTGCCTTTTTTTTCACTTAGCTTAATACTTTTGAGACATATCCATGTTGTTGTGTATACCAGTACTTGATTCCTTTCTATTTTATTTTATTTTGTTGTGGTTAGAATACTTAACTTGGGCTCTACCCTCTTAACAAATTTTTAAGTGTCTAATACATTATTGTTGACTATGGGTGCAATATGTTACAGCAGATCTCTAGAGCTTATTCATCTTGCTTGACTAACTCTGTTGATTAGTAACTTTTGATTTCCACCTCCTCTCAGCCCCTGGAAACTACCATTCTGCTCTTTGATTTTATGAATTTGACTATTTTGCATATCTCATATCAGTGCAATCATTCAGTATTGTTCTATGACTGGCTTATTTTACTTAGCATAATGTCCTCAAGATTCATCCATGCTGTCACATATTACAGAATTTCCTTCTGTTTTTTTAAAGTTGACTAATATTCTATAACAGGGTTGTTTCTAAATCTTAGCTGTTGTAAATGGTGCTACAATAAACATAGATGTGTTAATATCTTTGTGAGATCCTGATTTCTTCTCTTTTGGATAAATAACCAGAAGTGAGATTGCTAGATCATGTGGTGGTTCTATTTTTTTTTTTTGTAATATCCAAAATACTTTTCATAAAGCCTGTACCAACTTTTAGTCCAGCCAGCAAGGTGTAAGGTTTCCTTTTATCCACATCCTTGCCAACACTTGTTATCTTTTGACTTTTTGATCAGTTATCCTAACAGTTGTGAAATGATAATCTATTGTGATTTTGATTTGCATTGCCCTGATAATTAGTGATGTTGAACATTTTCTTTAATGTACTTTTTGGCCATTTGTATGTCTTCTTTGGAGAGATGTCTATTCAGGTCTTTTGCTCATTAAAAAAATTGGATTATTTGCTTTTTTTGTTTTGCTATTGAATTGTATGAGTTCCTTGTATATTTTTGATATTAACCCTTTACCAAATATATGGTTTGCAAATATCTTCTCCAATTCTGTGGGCCGCCTTTTCAATTTGTCAACTGTTACTTTTGCTGTGCCAAAACTTTTTAGTTTGATGTAGTCTTATTTGTTTATTTTGCTTTTGCTTTTTGATCCAAAAAATCGTTGCCCAGACTAATGTCATGAAGCTTTTCTCTTAGTTTTCTTTGAGTAGTTTTACAGTTTCAGGTCTTATCTTTAAGTGTTTTATCCATTTTGAGTTGATTTTTGTATATGGTGTGACATAAGGGTCCAAAATTATTATTCTGTATGTGGCTATCCAGTTTTCCCAACATCATTTGTTGAAGAGACTATCATTTCCCCGTTGTGTATTCTTAATACCTTTGTCAAAAATTAGTTGCCTACATATGTGTAGTTTATTTTTAAGCTTTTTATTCTGCTCCATTGGTCTATATGTCTGTTTTTGTGCCAGTACTATGCTGTTTTGATTACTATAACTTTATAATAAGATTTAACATTAGAAAGTGTGATGCCCCCAGCTTTGTTCTTGTTCAAGATTGCTTTAGCTATTCAGGGTCTTTTCTGGTTTTATACAAATTTTAGGATTGTTTTCTATCTTTGTAACATATGTCATTAGAATTTTGATAGGGATTGAATTGAATTTGTAGGTTGCTTTGGGTAGTTTGCACATTTTACAATATTGATTCTTCTAGATCCATGAACATAGGATATTTTTCTATTTATTTGTGCCTTCTTCAATTTCTTTCATGAATTTTTATACTTTGTAGTCTAGATCTTTTACATTCTTGGTTTAAATTTATTCCTAAGTATTTATTCTTCTTGATACTATCATAAATGGTATTGTTTCTTGATTTCTGTTTTGGATAATTTATCCTTAGTGTATAGAATTGCAACTAATATTTGTATGTTAATTTTGTGTCCTGAAACTTTACTGAATTTGTTTATTAGTTCTAATAGTTTTGTGTGTGTGTATGTGTGTGTGTGGACCCTTTAGGACTTTCTCTATATAAGATGATGTCATCTGCAAACAGTGACAATTTTTCCTCTTTTTTTTCAATGCAGATGTCTTTCATTTTATTCCCTTGCCTAATTGCTCTGGCTAGCACTTGCAGTTGTATGTTGAATAGAAGTGGTGAGCATGTGCATTATTGTCTTGTTCCTAACCTTACAGGAAAAGCTTTCAACATTCCATCATTGAGCATGATGTTAGAGGTGGGCTTGTGATATATGGCTTTCATTGTTTTGGCTAATTTGTGGATAGTTTTTATTATAAAGGAGGGTTGAATTTTGTAAATGCTTTTTCTGCACCTGTTGAGATGATCATGTGATTTTTATTCTTTCTTCTCTTAATGTGGTGTTTTATATTTATTTATTTGTATATGTTGAATCACCTTTACACTTTACATTCCAGGGATAAATCTCACATGACATAGTGTATGATCCTTTTAATGTGCTGTTGAATTCAGTTTGCTAGTATTTTGTTGAAAATTTTTGCCTATATTTTCATCAGGAATATTGGCCTGTATTTTTCTTTTTTATATTGTGCTTGCCTGGTGGTGTTAGCATGACAATCCCAGCCTTGTAAGTTTTACAACCATAAAAATGAAAAATTATTACATTTTATTTATTGCTTTATAGGGTAAACAGACATAATATTCATGACAATAGACTTAAGAAGGGGAATACAATGGAAATGTATGCTGATACAATGATCCTACATTTTACCAGAAGTGACTTAAAATTATCCACAAATAGATTGGCTAGGTATAAGCTACATATATAATTTCTGGTTTAACCACTACATGCAGAGATAGAAATAGAAAGCAAGTGAAGGTATTAAAATAGCTTTTTAAATGCAATAGATTAATATACAAAACAAGGCAAAAAAAGATGAAGAGAAAAAGAATACTAAATGAGAAAATTAAAAAACGAATAGTAAAATAGCAGCCAAAAATTTAATCATATCAATAATTACATTAAATGTATAATTTTTGTTTATATAGTTATATAACTTTAAAAATACAGAGAAAAAGTTTTATATTTATTTATAATTTTAACATTTCTAATACTCTTTATTTTTCTCTATAGATCTGAGTTGTCATTTAGTGTCATTCACTTTCATATTGAGGACTTCTCTTAGCATTTCTTATAGTGCATATCTATATATGCAGCATATATGCATATACATATATCTGCATTTTAACTATCTGTCTATCTATCACTATTATCCCTGATAGTTTCTCTCATTTTTTGTTTATCTAAAAGTGTGCATATAATTTTTTATCCTTCAATGTTTTCAACATATTATTCCAATGGCATCTGGCTTCCACATTTCTCATGAGAAGTCAGCCATTAAATTTTGTCGTCTATTCCTTTTCTCCAAGCCCCTTGAAATATTTTGTTTTGGTTTATTTCAAGATTGTCTCTTTACCTTTGGTTTATAGCAGTTTGTCCCTGATATGGCCAGGAGATTTCTTTTTATTTATTATTATTATTATTATTATTTTTTTTTTTTTTTTTTTTTTTGAGACAGAGTCTCACCCTGTTGCCCAGGTTGGAGTGCAGTGGCACGATCTCCGCTCGCTGCAATCTCCGTTTCCTGGGTTCAAGCGATTCTCCTGACTCAGCCTCCCAAGTAGCTGGGACTACAGGCACCCGCCACCACGCTCGGCTAATTTTTTGTATTTTTAGTAGAGACGGGGTTTCACTGTGTTAACCAGGATGGTCTCGATCTACTGACCTCATGATCCGCCTGTCTCGGCCTACCAAAGTGCTGGGATTGCAGGTGTGAGCCACTGCGCCCGGCGAGATTTCTTTTTATTTATCTTGACTGGGATTTGTTGACCTTTTTGAATCTGTAAATTATTATATTCTACCAAATTTGTAAATTTTTAGTTAATGTTCTAAAAATATTTCTCCTACTACTTATTTGCCTCTCTCTTTTCTTTCTATAATTTTACTTCCATGCATGTTAATTAATAGGGTCTGTTATTTTTTTTCTCTGTTCTTCAGAGTGGGGAAATTATTTTGATTTATTTTAAGCTCACAGAGTGTTTTTCGTTATCTTTCTTTCATTATCTACTGTTGAGCTCATCTAGCTAATTATGTGTATTTCTCTATAATTTCCAGCTGCTCTATGACTTTTGGGCTCTGTACTCTGACACATTAAGCTTTCTGTGGTCAAGTTGTGCACAATTTGAAAATATACTCAGATAAGTGTTACACTCAGATTCTGTATGGTTTTATCTTTTAACAGGAGATTTCTCTTTGGTGCCTTCCCTTCCTGTGTTTTTTACCATAATGTCAGCCTAGTATTTGGACAATGTATGCTTCCCTTACCGTCAGGATTCTCCTTTAAATTTCTAGCTGCTTTTCTTGCACTGAACTCCGGGATCTGGCACCTTACCAGTCTGCCTATGGTTTTTCCCTACATCATTTGCTGTAGCTGTGGAGATTAGGTTGTGCCCTCAGGCCAGAAGATTTGACAAAGCCAAAATTTATACTTCTTCAGGTAATTTTTTTAAAATATTGAATTATTTAACTGCTTCTGTCAGCTTTTGAATGCTTTATGGCATATTTAAATAATTATTTTTTTATTTTTTCAGTTCATATAAGTATTATCTGTGGAGTATTTGTATACTACATCATTCCTCACCAGCTACTTTCTCTTGCATTATTTTAAAAGAGTGGTGTTCTATGTTGTTTATTCTGTGTTAATCCAGGGCTTTTGCTTTCTATCTTCTAAAATGTTCAACACTTCTTGCCCTTAGGGCATCTTTTCTTGTTTTTCAGAACTATTATTTATTTTTAAATTTTTCCTGTCATGTTAGAAAATTTGGAATGGGAATAGAGATAAATACAAATACTACGCCTCCCACGTTGACCCAATCTTCTCAATATTGTTACTTACTTTTAAATTTCATATTCATAAATCAGTTCATTATTCTAAGCAATCAAGAATATTTTGAATTTTTTTCAAAAAATAAGATTAAAAATCTGTAATTAAAGCAAAAGGTTATTTGAATTTAGTTATTCAGGATAGAGTTTAAATTAATTGGCAGTCTGAATATTTTTGGTTTTTCTCTAAAATTTTTCTATAATATTTGGATTTTCTAGGTCTTTATTTCAAGTGCATTTATAAAAAGACTCTTATTTGTATTCTTGACTTCATTTTCAGGCCTCATTTACCCATCAAGATGTAAACTTCTTGTAGACATAGACTTTGCATACCCAGAAAAACAACCTTGGGCCTTGGCGATGTTGACTAATCTACATTTATTTTACCTTTCTCCATTTCTCTCTAATTGAAGTAGATGAAGGAAGGTTGATTCACTTAAGATGATTAAACTGAGCACTTCATCCTGATCTAAATTTTCTTAAGGACGCTGTTTATAAAGGTACAGATTTTTATTTTCCTACTACCTTGTTAGGTATATAATATCCATATTTTATCTTTGTTATTTTATTTTTTTAATTTCTATTTTAGATTTAGGAGTAAATGTGCAGGTTTATTATACAGGTAATTTGCATGTGATAGAGGTTTGGTGTAAAGATTATTTCATCACCCAGATAATAAGCCTAGTACCTCATAGGTAGTTTTTTGATCCTCACTGATATGGTTTGGCTGTGTCCCCACCCAAATCTCATCTTGTATTCCCGCATGTTGTGGGAGGGACCCAGTGGGAGGTAATTGAATAACTGGAGCAGGGGTGTCTTTCCCATGCTGTTCTCTTGATGGTGAATAAGTCTCACGAGATATCATGATTATTCTAATGGGGAGTTTCTGTGCACAAGCTCACTTTTTGCCTGCTGCCATCCATCTAAGATGTGACTTGCTCCTCCTTCCCTTCTGCCATTATTGTGAGGCCTCCCCAGCCACGTGGAACTGCGAGTCCATTAAAACCTCTTTTTCTTCCCAGTCTCAGGTATGTCTTTATCAGCAGCATGAAAAAATGAACTAATGCACTCACCCTTCTCCCACTCTCCACCCTCAAGTAGGCCTCAGTATGTTGTTCCCTTCTTTCTGTCCATATATACTCAATGTTTAGCTCCCATTTATAAGTGAGAATATGTGGTATTTGGCTTTCTGTTCCTGTGTGAATTCTCCTAAGATAATGGCCTCCATCTCCATTCATGCTGCTGCAAAGGACATGGTCTCATTTTTTTTAAGGCTGCATAGTATTCCATAGTGCATATGTACTACATTTTCTTTATCTGGTCTACCATTGATGGGCATTTAGGTTGATTCCATGTCTTTGCTATCATGAATAGTGCTACAATGAAGATGTGTGCACATGTGTCTTTGTGACAAAACAATTTATATTCCTTTGGATACATACCCAACATGGGATTGCTGAGTAAAATGGTAATAATGTTTTAAATTCCTTGAGAAATTGCCAAACTGCTTTCCATAGTGGTTGAACTAATTTAAATTCCCACCAACGGTGTATAAGCATTCCCTTTTCTCTATAACTTTCCCAGCATCTGTTATTTTTTGATTTGTTAGTAATGGACATTCTGACTGTTGTAAAATGGCATCTCATTGTGGTTTTGATTTGCATTTATCTGATGATTAGTGATGTTGAGCATTTTTTTCATATGCTTCTTGGCCACATGTATGTCTTCTTTGAAAAGTGTCTGTTCGTGTCTTTTGTCCATGTTTGAATGGAGTTGTTCGTTTTTTGCTTGTTGGTTTGTTTAAATCTGTTATAGATGCTGGATATTAGACCCTTGTCAGATGCACAGTTTGCAAATGTTTTCTCCCAGTTTGTAGGTTGTCTGTTTACTCCATTGATAGTTTATTTGCTGTGAAGAAGCTCTTAGTTTAATTACATCCCATTTGTTGAATTTTTGTTTTTGTTGCAATTGCTTTTGGCATCTTCATTGTAAACCTCTGCCAGTTCCTATAATCTAGAATAGTATTTCCTAGGTTATCTTCCAGGGTATTTAGTCTAGGAGATTTTACATTTAAATCTTTAATTTATCTTGAGTTGATTTATGTATATGATGTAAGGAAGGGGGTCAGTTTCAATCTTCTACATATAGCTAGCCCATTATCCCAGCACAATTTATTGAATAGGGAGTCCTTTCCCCATTGCTTGTGTTTGTAGATTTGTTGAAGATCAGATGGATATGCAGCATTACTTCTGGGATCTCTGTTCTGCTTTTTTTGTTTTGTTTTGTTTTGTTTTGTTTTGGTCTGTGTGTCTGTTTTTGTACCAGCACCATACTGTTTTGGTTACCGTATCACTGTAGAATAGTTTGAAGTTGAGTACTGTGATACCTCCAGCTTTGTTCTCTTTGCTTAGGATTGGCTTGGCTATTCGGGCTCTTTCTTGATTCCATATGAATTTTAAGGTAGTTTTTTTCTAATTCTGTGAAGAATTTCGGCAGTTTGATAAGAATAGCATTGAATCTATCAATTGCTTTGGGCAGTATATCCATTTTAACAATATTGATTCTTCATATCCATGAGCATGAAATGTTTTTCTATTCATTTGTGTCTTCTCTGATTTCTTTGAGCAACGTTTTAGAATTCTCATTGCAGAGGTCTTTTGCCTCCTTGGTAATCTGTGTTAGTAGGTATTTTATTCTTTTTGTGGCTATGATAAATGAGATTACATTCTTGAGTTTGCTCTCAGTTTGGATGTTATTGGTGTATGGGAATGCTACTGATTTTTTATTTTATTTTATTTTATTTTTTTGAGAGACGGTCTTGCTCTGTTAGGCTGGAGTGGACTGGCATGATTACAGGTCACTGTAGCCTCAAACTCTTGGGTTCAATAAATCCTTCCACCTCAGCATCCTGAGGAGCTAGGACTACAGACATGAACTGCCACATCTGGCTAATTTTTGTATTTTTTTGTAGAGACAGAGTTTTGTCATTTTGCCCACGCTGGTCTCAAAATCCTGGGCTCAAGCAACTCACCTTCCTCAGCCACCCAAAATGCTGGGATTACAGGCATAAGCCACCACACTCAGCAGGAATGCTACAGATTTTTGTATATTAATTTTGTATCCTGAAACTTTGCTAAAGTTGTTTATTAGATCAAGGAGCTTTGGTAGAGACTACAGTGTTTTCTAGATATAAAATCATATCATCTACAAACTAGTTTGAAGGAGAGTGCTTCTAGCATTTGCGTATTCAGTATTATGTTGGCAGTAGGTTTTTCATAGATGGCTCTTAATATTTTCAAGTATGTTTCTTCAATTCCTAGTTTATTGAGGGTTTTTAATATAAAGGTATATTGAATTTTAAGAAAAGCTTTTCTGCGTCTATTGAGATGATCATGTGGCTTTTGTTTTTTGTTCTGTTTACATAGTGAATCACATTTATTGATTGTGTATGTTTAACCAACCTTGCATCCCAGGGATAAACCTCGATTGTGGTGGATTCGCTTTTTGATGTGCTGCTGAATTTGGTTTGCTATTATTTTGTAAAGGGTTTTTATGTCTATATTCATCAAGGATATTGGCCTGAAGTTTTCTTTTTTGTTGTGTCTCTGCCAGGTTTTGATATTGAGATGATGCCGGCCTCATAAGATGAGTTAGGGAGAAATCCTTCCTCATCAATGTTTTTGTGATGGTTTTAGTAGGAAAGGTACCAGCTCTTCTTTATTCATCTGGTAGAATTTGGCTGTGAATCCTTCTGGTCCTGGGTTTTTTTTTTTTTTTTTTTTTTAAGTTGGTGGGCTTTTTACTACTGACTCAATGTTGGTTATTATTGGTGTGTTCAGTGATTCAATTTCTTCCTTGCTCAATCTTGGGAGGTTGTGTATTTCCAGGAATTTATCTCCTTCTTCTAGGTTTTCTAGCTTGTGTGCATAGAAACTTTTGTAATAGTCTCTGAGAGTTTTTTCTGTTTCTATGGTAACATTCCCTTTGTCATTTCTGATTGTGTTTATTTGAGTCTTCTCTCTCTTTTTTATTAGTCTATCTAGCAGTCTATATATCTTATTAATTCTTTCAAAAACTCCTGGATTTGTTGATCTTTTGCATCTCAGTTTCTTTCAGTCCACCTCTGATTTTGGTTTTCTTTTTTTTCGTCTGCTAGAGTTTGGGTTGGTTTTCTTTTGTCTCTCTAGTTACTCTAGTTGTAATGTTAGGTTGTTAATTTGAGACCTTTCTAATTCTTGATGTGGGCATTTAGTGCTATAAACTTTCCTACTAACACTGCTTTAACTGTGTCCCAGAGATTCTTGTATGTCGTATCTATGTTCTCATTAGTTTCAAAGAATTTCTTGATCTCTGTCTTACCTTCATTATTTAGCCAGAAGTCATACAGAAGCAGGTTGTTTAATTTCCATGTAACTGTATGGTTTCCAGTGATTTTCTCAGCATTGAGTCCTATTTTTATTGCACTGTGGTCCAAGAGTGTAGTTGGTATAATATTTTTCTTTTTTTTTTAAATTTGCTGAGGATTGTTTTATGCCCTTTTTTATGGTCAATTTTAGAGTATATGCTATGTGCAAATGAGAAGAATGTATATTCTTTTTTTTCGGGTGGAGAGTTCTGTAGTTGTCTGTTAGGTCCATTTGGTCAAGTGTAGTGCTCAGGTCAGAAATATCTTTGTTAGTTTTCTGCCTTAATGATCTGGTTAATACTGTCAGTATTGTCTCTCACAATTATTATGTGGTTATTTAAGCTCTTCATAGGTGTCCAAGAATTTGCTTTATGAATCTGGGTGCTCCTGTGTTGGGTGCATATATATTTAGGATAGTTAGACCTTCTTGATGAACTGAGCCCTTTACCATTATGTAATGCCCTGCTTCTGTTTAAATTTTTTTGGTTTAAAATCTGTTTCATCTGAAATTAGAATAGCAACCTTTGCTTTTTTCTGTTTTCTGTTTGCTTGGTAGATTTTTCTTCATCCATTTACTGTGAGCCTATGTGTGTCACTGCATGTGAGATGGGTCTCTTGAAGATAGCATACAATTGGGCTTTGCTTCTTTATCCAGCTTACCACTCTGTGTCTTTATTTGAGGCATTTAGCCTATTTACATTGAAAATTAGTATTTATATACTGTCATCATGTTGTTAGTTATTATGAAGATTTGTTTTTGTGATTGCTTTATAATGTCACTGGTCTATGTACCTAAGTGTTTTTGAAGTGGTCAGTAAGTATTTCCTTTCCATATATAGCATTCCTTTCAGGATCTCTTGTAAGGCAAGTCTGGTGGTAATTCAGTCCCTTAGCATTTGTTTGTCTGAAAGGATCTTAATTGTCCTTCACTTATGAAGCTGAATGTGGCTAGATTTGAAATTCTTGGTTGAAAATTCTTTTCTTTGAGGATGCTGAATATACTCTCCCACCCCATAATCTCTTCTGGCTTGTAGGGTTTCTGCTGAAAGGTCTGTTGTTAGCCTGATGGGATTCCCTTTGTAAGTGATTCCCTTTGTAAGTGATCTGTCCCTTCTCTGTAGTTGTTTTTAATGTTTTTTAATTCATTTCAACCTTGGAGAATCTCATGATTGTGTGTTTTGAGGATGGGCTTCTTATGTAGTATTTTGCAGAGGTTCTCTGCATTTCCTGAATTTGAATGTTGGCTTCCTTAGCAAGATTGGCGAAATTTTCATGGATGATATCCTGAAATATGTTTTCCAAGTTTCTTCCTCTCTCTCTCTCTCTCATGAGTCACAGATTTGGTGTCTTTATATAATCCCATATTTATCAGAGGTTTTGTTGATTCTTTTTTTTATTATTATTTTACTTAAAGCTCTGGGATACATGTGCTCAATGTGCAGGTTTGTTACATAGGTGTACATGTGCCATTGTGGTTTGCTGCACCTATCATTCTGTCATCTAGGTTTTAAGTCCCACTGCATTGGGTATTAGTCCTAATGCTGTCCCTCCCCTTTCCCTCCACTTGCCAACAAGCTCTGGTGTGTAATGTTTCCCTCCCTGTGTCTGTGTGTTCTCATTGTTCAACTCCCACTTATGAGTGAGAACATGTGGTGTTTGGTTTTCTGTTTCTGTGTTAGTTTGCTGAGGATGATGGTTTCCAGCTTTATCCATGACATGCAAAGGACATGAACTCATTCTTTTGTATGGCTGCATAGTATTCCATGGTGTATATGTGCCACATTTTCTTTATCCAGTCTATCATTGATGGGCATTTGGGTTAGTTTCAAGTTTTTGCTATTGTAAATAGTGCTGCAATAAACATACGTGTGCATGTGTCTTTATAGTAGAATGATTTATAATCCTTTGGGTATATATCCAGTAATGGGATTGCTGGGTCAAATGGTATTTCTGGCTCTAGATCCTTGAGGAATTGCCACACTGTCTTCCACAATGGTTGAACTAATTTACAGTCCCACCAACAGTGTAAAAGCATTCCTATTTCTCCACATCCTTGCCAACATCTGTTATTACCAGACTTTTTAATGATCACCATTCTAACTGGTATGAGATGATATCTCATTGTGGTTTTGATTTGCATTTCTCTAATGACCAGTGATGATGAGCTGTTTTTCATAAGTTTGTTGGCTGCATAAATGTCTTCTTTTGAGAATTGTCTGTTCATATCCTCCATCCACTTTTTGATGGGATTGTTTGTGTTTTCCTTGTAAATTTCTTTGAGTTCCTTGTAGATTCTGGATATTAGACCTTTCTCAGATGGATACATTACACAAATTTTCTCTTATTCTGTAGGTTGCCTATTCACTCTTCTTTACTTTTTAAAAAATTTTTGTCTGATTGAGTTATTTTGTAGAGCAGGTTTTCGTGCTCTGAGATTCTTTGCTTAGCTTAGCCTATTCTGCTGTTAATACTTGTGAATACATTGTGAAATTCTTGTATTGTGCTTTTCAGCTTTATCAGATCAGTTTGGTTCCTTCTATAATGGATATTTCATCTATTAGCTCCTGTATCATTTTACAATAACCTTTAGATTCCTTGAATTGGGTTTTGACTTTATGCTGAATGTCAAAAATCTTCATTCCTATCCATATTCCAAATTCTATTTCTGTCATTTCAGCCATTTCAGCCTGGTTAAGAACCATTGCTGAGGAACTAGTGCTTTCATTTGGAGGTAAGAAGACACTCTGGCTTTTTGAGTTGCCAGAGTTCTTGCATTGGTTCTTTCTCATCTTCATGGGCTGATGTTCTTTTAATATTTGAAGTTACTCTCTTTTGGATGAATTTTTTTTTCTTTTATCCTCTTTAGTGTCCTTGGGGGTTTGATTATGCTATAAAGGTGGATTTAGTCAACTGGCTTCATTCCTGGAATATTTTAGGGAGCCAAGGCTTATCTCAGGACTGCTGCACTGTGTGCCCTAACTCTGAGAGGCTAATATCAGACCCCTTGCTTTGTTCTCTGGCCCCTCAAGTTTAGGAATCTGCTGCACTGGAGGGGCTGAGGTTTTCTCAGACATCTGGTTACAACACTCAATGGGTGGTGCCAACCAAAGTGTTTTATTGGGTGGTGGGAGCCTGCCAGCATCCATACACATATTTGTGCTGGTGATGGTCAGCTTGGGGGTTGTTGGCAGGCCTGGAGCTGGCACTCTCCATTTACTCATTCATGTGGGCAGTAGCAGCTATGCAGGATGGGGGATGAGGCTGTTGGTCTCTGTGCATAGGTTTGGACTGGAGGTTGTGTCAACATGGGGGTGAGGTACTGAGGGGTGTGATGCTGGTGATCTCCATGTGCATATAAATACACAAGTGGCAGTAACAACACAGAGTAGGGGGGTGGGGCTACTAGTCTCCTTGTGCTCCTTCATGTTGGACAGGGTGTATGAGGTGTGCTTATGCTGGCAGCAGTGTCATGATGGGGCACACATGCACACTGGCAGGGAAGAGGAGGTGAAGTCTTCCTGCACCCACTCACTGGCAAAGTGATGTGGTGGGCAGCCATGGACAAGTGCACACAGGCAAACCAGCATGGCCAAGGCTGTGGTGGTGGGCGGGAGCAGGTAATTTGGTACCTGGTAGTGGGGGCTGCCCTACTGGAGCTCCCTGATGCTCAGGCATGATTTATCAGTGCAGGAGCTATGATGCAGGCATCTGGGAGTTACCTCAGCTGAGCATCCAAGGCTGCACTACAAGCAAGTGCATCCAGGCTGGGATCCTGGGAGAGACCGGTAGACAGTGGGGCTCTCAGGTCAGACTGGCTTCATCTCATGGACAAGATTGCCCTTCACTGTTCAGGTCCAACAGTTTCCCTAGGGCTAGATTCTCCTAGGAGAGCAAGGTGAGCCTAGGGGGATGGACATCCCTTGCTGGGCTTCACTACAGACATTCCCACACCAAACCCTCTGGGCTCTGCACTGGCTGGAATTCTGCCTCTACCATCTCTCTAAGCAGCTCTCCCTGCCAGCTCAGGTGTTCATGGAGGTCATGGGGTCTCCTGCTGCCAGGGTTCCAGAGGTGCCTGGTGGGTTGCTCCTTGCCTGCTCAACTCACCACTTCCCCAGGAGTTGTTGGGGGCCAGGAGCGAGTCCCAGTACATGGTAGCCCCATGCAGGGTTCCCAGCTTCCTCCACCTTCAGACCAGCTTATGTGTCTTCCCTCTGTCCACTGACAGTGCTTGGAGTGTGCCAGTCTTCCTAATGTCCTGGACCCTTGGTGGCAGATGTTCCTCCTGGATGCATCTAGTTGGCCTTCTTGAGAGCAGCCTTATCTCTGTTATTTTTTGAGAAAAATTAAGCACTATTCTTTGAAACCTTTCCCTTGCTTAAAAAACATTTTAACCCATAGTCTTTTATATTCAATATATAAAGATCCTGCTATTTTATTATAATTCTGTAGAATTTAAAGAAATTTTTCAAACAGGATTTGTAAGATGTGGTTATGTAAGATTGCAAGATTTCATGAAAGAACTTTAAGTATTTGTTTATTGCATGTAGCCATGGTGTGTCCCATTTCTTCTAAGTCTAATAATTCGAGTAAGTAAATAATTTATTGCCACTAACAGCTATAAAGATGACACAGTGAGGAGCCCTAAAAAATTTGAGATTAGTTGGTTGAACACTTTGCATTATATGTGAATTATAATCTTAACAGAAATAGATAAGAGATATATACCAGCAATTACTACCCTGTACAGTAGTTTATTTATGAAACAGTAAAGAATATGGCTATATATTTGTAATTAAGTTACTGATTGAATGCTGTGTAAATAGTAATATATTATCTGAAGGTTTTCTAAATGATAAGTATTTGAAAGGATTATATAGAAACAATCCTACCTCATCTTTGTTCAGAAAATTATTTGATATATTTTATTCTTCCGTATCATTGACTATCATTATCTTTTAGACAGAGCTATAGGGACATATCAATAATTTTAAAAGATCTTGAGATTACATTTTTTGTTCATTGTTTTCAATTTGTGATTTGGTCTGACAACTTGAGTTAATAACTTGAGAATCTTACACTGGGTGTGCATGCCTTTTTTGAGGAATCCAGTATTGTTTTTGCCATTTCACCTCTTTCTATTCATATTATTTGTAAATATTGCATTAGCAAAATTATAGTAATAAGCAAAAGAAGGAAATAATTATTTAATTCTGTCTATTTTCAAATGCCATTAGTGTAGGTCACCAGATATTTCTGGCTCTCCCCCTGCGTGCATAGTAAGATTGCACTTACCTGTCTCCATTGATATTAGGCATGATTATGTACTTGCTCTAGCCAAGTGATTTTTGTCAGTTCCTTGTGAAAAACCTAAAAACCTATGCATGATTTTCCATGTTACTTTCTCCTTAATGCAGGAATTTTAAAAGTATATATTAATATTAAATCTCTATCATTCCAAGTCCTTAGGAGACTGATGAACACAGCCATTGCAGACTCACTTTGGACATGAAATATATGTTTATGTGATAAGCCATAAGATTTTTGTTTGTTACTGAAGTGTATCCTAGCCTATTCTGACAGATACAAAAATTGATATTCAAAGAGAAATGTCAAAATATGTGACACAGGCTTAGCTTTTTGGTCCGAGGCAGTGAAAAGACTACTTTGAATGCTGAATCACAATCAATGTTATTCAATAGCAAAATATTTGGTAAAATTATTTTTGATAAAGATGTGAAAATAAGATAATGTACCTCATAAACCTGTAGTTCTCAGAAAAGTGGTTAAAATAGCTTTAGTAGTGTGTGTTGGTTGATGTTGGCTGCATTTGATAGGGAATTATATAAAGTAAGATCAGGAAAGAATTAGCTTACAAGCAGGAGTGAATGGAAATAGAGTACATGATTTCAAGGTCTTTCAGTATCAAAGAGGAAAGTTTTTCTCGACTCCAACTGATAAAATATAAAACTGAGAAGAATTTTGAGTCACAAGAGCCGATTAAATCTCAGTCTGGTGGCAACAACCAAATTAAGGTATATAGCTTTTCAAATTGTTTAGAACTTCTGAATGGATTAAGATGTCTTAGAGTAAAATTTCCAACTGAGGGAGTGACACCCTTTAATATTTCAAATGGACAAAATAATAATGGTGTGTCTTTTCTATCAAAGCTTATTTACAGACCCAAGATGCCAGTAATTAAGTTGAAAAATATGATAAAGCAAAGAAATGTAGCAATTTTAAGAAATAGAACTAAAAAGTACTGTGATCATGGCTATTGGCACTTGATACTGACTGAAATATAATAGATAAAAAGCTTACTAAGTTTTTGCTACGCATTTTAATAGAAATGTAAAACCATAGCTTGCTGCTGTTGGAGAAGACTTGTGGATTCAGATAACCTAGTGGACTAATCTGATTTATTAGTGATTCATGCAATTCAACATCATCTTGAACTTGCAAGAAAATTCATGATACAATCCTTTATCATTAATGATTTTCTACTGACAATGTTACTGTGTTGCATTCGTAGGTATTTTGTAACAGAGCTGAAATAATGCCCTGGATCTTTTCGTTACATTGCCAAATTTATCAATAATTTACCAATTGAATCAAAGACTATCTTTTAAAAGCAGGTAAAATCTATATGTGGAACATTTTCTGTGTACATGTCAATAATAAGTACCACAACACTTTAAAAACATTCAATTAACATTCTCTACCAATAATGACTTATATAATTTCCAACCAGTATAAAGATTATATTCAATATAAGGCTTGATTTCCAGGTATTATTTACACATTTCTTTACTCTGTCTTAATAGTAAAAGAAAGAACTCAACACTCTAACCTCGTTTTATTTTTATTTCAAGGGTCACACAGCTGCTAATTGTTCTGTGTGGGGAACATGTGAGGGGAGAAGAAAAGACACACATACAATACCTGTAAGGGTAAACAACCTTTATCCCATGTAAATGGCAATGCGGATATAATAAGCAAATGATATAATAAGCAAATTGATATAATAAGCAGATTGATATAATAAGCAAATTGCAATGGGAAGGGGAGAAGGAAAAGATACATACATACATATATATACATGTATATATATGTATACACATATACACTCACCAGACTATGGAGGATTCACCACCAGACTGGGAAGCAACAGCCTGGGCTCCAGAGTCGGACACCACACTCACCAGATTATGGAGGATTCACCACCAGACTGAGAAGCAACAGTCTGGGCTCCAGAGTCAGAAGTAACAACAGGCTGACCTCCAGAGTCGGACACTAACTCACCATAGTATGGAGGGGATTCACCACCAGACTGGGAAGCAACAGCCTGGGCTCCAGAGTTGGCTACCCATCCATGCACAGATGAGGAGAGGTCTCATGAAGCTTTGGTATTGTCCGGGACCCTAGCTTTTTTTGTAAAAGTTGTTTGGCATGAGGCCCAGTCACAGTGGCCCTTCGCTGTGTCATAAACACTTTTCATGTAATTATTTGTGGTTTTATGATCATATTTATAATTACAGCAAATTTTCCACTTTATAACACAACAACTTGTACATTTCACTAATAGGCATACATATTGTGTCTGTTTTTTTCACTAGTATAACTAATGCTACAGCAAACATCTGTGTGCATAAATCTTTGTTTAAATATGATTATTTTCTTATTATTAGAAATAAAATGGTGATGAGAAGATAAAAGTATTTCTAAGGCTCTTGAAGCAAGTGGTCACACTGTTTCCTCCCACAAATTTTGCCATTTTATTCTGAACAGAATACCTTTTTCATTTTTTACTCTGTATTATACTTTTTAAATCTTTGCTAACTTTACAGTTGAATGATACCTCAATAATACTTGCATTTTATAAAGAAATTAACATTTTTTTCTTCTTATAGTTTCTAATCCATAGGTAGTTTAAACTATTCATTGATATTCTTTTTTTTTGCATTTCTATGCTTCATTATTTATAGAAAATTTTTACCGTTTTATATTTCTTTGGTTTTGTGTTACTCTTGATTTTCCATATTATGTTTTTCCATATGAATATCTTTTATTGTTATGTAGTTAACCAAGTTGTGTCTTCCTTTATTTTTCTTTTACTGTTTTAAGCTTGGAATTATTTCCCATGGAGAGATAAATATTAGTCTACCTATTTTTTATACAAGTATTTTGATTTTTTGAATTAGCAGTTTAATTCATTGAAAATTTAATTTTGTCTAATATATGAGGTGAATATCTAAAGTTTTTCCACCTAGCTTATATTTGGTTGCAAAATCATTGTTTACGTTTCCCCATTGGTTTGTATTGTTGCATTTCCCACGTGAACACTTCTGAACCATTGTTTTGTTTCATTTACTTATTTGTCTTTTCCTCTCTCAGAACCACACTAACTTGTTATTATGACTTTATACCATTTTGTAATACTCGGTAACATTATTAATTCCTCATCAATCTGACTTTTCAATAGTTTTAAAATTTAATCTTAAACATCACAATCTTAAAAAAAAACCCATAAATTCCATTGGCATTTTGACCAAGAGTATATTAATTGCACAGATTGCTTTGGGTGAAATTAACCACTTTGTAGGCTCAGTCCTCCTATTTGGAAAATGTTAATTATCTCCATCTATTTATGTTATCTTCTGTACTTCCCTTTCTTCCTATATTTTACACATGTCCTGATAATGTTACTCCAAAGTATTTTATGATTTTTTTCCCTACTGTACCACACTGCATGTTTACTCATACAAACATTATAATAAAATTTCTTACTTTTAAAATAACTTCTATTTTAAAAATAAAAATACAAATAATTTTTACTAATTTGATGCATATCAATTACTCATACTAACATAACTGTTGAAGAATAAGTTATTTAGAATAGGATTTATTTAGGAGTTTTAACTATTGTCAGTCATTATTTTATATAACATGTAACTCATCCTAAAACGATTCTTGGGGAAAAAAGCTATTGGCATGATTTCTGCATTCAATACTTTGGGTCCTCACAGCTTCTTGGTGACCCACCCTTCTCAGCAGCTGCCATTGTCCATCTTTTCTTAGTAGACCTGGTTTCTCCGTATTCCTTCTCAGAGAAAAAGCCTCAACACATCTTTTTCTACAGTAACACAAATGGCTTACTCTAGTCATGGGGATATCCTAGGGAAGACACAAGTCAGAACTTCTTTCATTTTAGTTGACTGATTAAGCAATAAACCAAGCCTCATTGTATCTTTTAAAAACAGCTTGTTAAACATGAAACTCACCCATTGAAACATGAAAGCATTTTATCTTCTTGCATCATGCTGATGAATCTTGCATCTTAAAAATCCTTTTAAATATAAATAATCCATGTTGACACAAGACACATGGTCAGGAGAATAATCATATGAGACAGTAAAGAACTCATGTACTCTTTCCTCAATTGAAGCCATAGTTTATTTGTATGTGTGTGCTTTTTAAACATCCAGAATTCTAATCCAACTGTCTCAACTATCCCAGAGGAGACCAGGCCTAAAAAAGCCATCTGTCTCAAATATAATGTCCAATGGTATGTAGGTATAATTTCCATGTGCTGCTTATGGAATCACTTTATTTATTTATAATCATATAATTTATGTTGACTGTCATTGTATAAAAATGCAGAACTTCACTGGGGAGAAAGGACATAATAGGTTGGAGAAGAAAGGTGAAGAAAACCTGAAAAGTTTCAACACTGTTAATCTAAGAAATTTAAAATAAGAACCATGGGAGCATGTTTTAATATTTTCCTCCTAGGCTAGCTACTTCACACAATTCATTTGTGTATCCACTTTATATTTTATGCCACAGTCTTAATTACATTTTGGATGTTTGGTGTATTCAAAAAATGGTATTTTTTAAATAATATAAAGAATTATCAATACAGATTTTTTTAAAACTTCTTTTTAAGTGGTTAATGGTTTACAGATCTTAGGTTAAAATGGAAGACCAAGAAATTGCAGTTTTCCACTATTACTCAAATCTCTAAAAATGACAGAAAAGTTATAAACAAAAATAAATAACACAATATAGTATTTGATTTTGACTGGTGTCACCAATGTTATACCAAAATTTTATTAACATATTTACAAAACGTTTTCCTTAAAGTTTATCTTATCTGACTCATGGAGTTTAGATTTTTTTTTTCTGTTTACTGAGAACTGGAGAGTATAATTTATTGAAATACAAAGTATCATTGAACAAGATTTTCTTATACACCATTTAAACAACTACACATACAATGTATTTTTGAAGGAGCTTTGACTTTTTTAAATATTTCAGCAGTCATATATAAACATTATTGATGACCAGTTCACTAATGCAAGTCACAGCTCTTAGAACTTTCTCTATCTCTTCCTTATTCCCCGTTACCACATTGTTTTCCTTAGCATAATCACCATTCCCAAATGCAAATGGTAAATTTAAAACTAGAATTTTTCAAAGTCTGCTTCAATTTTAACTACAAATATTCACAGAAAATGGATCTTTGTTGGATATCCAGTTAGGTTAGTTATAACTTCTTTTGTAATTTAATTTTAGAGTGGTTTTATCTTTTTTTGTAGATATTTTAAATTAATATAGTCTGGCAATTTAATGCAACTATACTAATGGGAACTCAACACCATGAACTTGAGGTAGAGGTGACTGAGAGTAAATGTGGAGACTATTGATTACATGATCATAAGTAAGACAGGGAAATTTAAGCAGTGGTACATTGTATTTTCATGATAATTACATGTGTGTCTATAACAAATAATAGCAAATTCAGGTCAATAGTTTCAGTGATGCTTTATGTTTCCTTGTTTCCAGTATTAGAATGAATTTTAAATCACTAGCCACGTAGCTATGGTGTCATAGTCTGAAGTAGAAGTTAAGAAGTTTTCGTTGCTAAGAATTAGTCTGACTGACATGAACCATTTGTTTGTCCATGTTCCTTCTCAGCTCTTTTCCCTGTGTGTTAACACAACCTCTCCCCTTTTCTCTCCCTCATTTTTGTCTTCCCATTTTTATATCAATGCTGGAAGGCCCTTCTGCCTGCCAGGGAAGCAAACTGGCCTGGCAGCCTTGCTGCTGGGAGCACTCACTCAGCTCCTGAGGGCCTGGCGTGCTGCACCATTTCTTACCTTGCTCATGCACTCCCTCTGGTAACTTTTGTTTTCATGAGAACTTTGGATAGTTCTGCTGCATTGCATTGGGTTTTTAAAGTATTGCCCCCAAAAAGCATCTACCAAGGAAATGAAGCTGAGAAAGGCCTTTATTATGTGTTACAAATTAATTGTGCCAGTTTTCTGCTCTTGGCAATAATACTTTTGCAGATGGTTTCTACCGAAATATCATCATCATATTACTGAGATTGATTGTACCAGAGAAAATTTTTTGTTAACCCAAGAAGTTGATATGTTTAAGATGTTAGAATCATAGATTTGCTAGAAGAATAAAAAGAAACATGCACTTTGAAGGCAAAGTTTCTGACAGTAGAAGAAGAGAGAAGAAGAAAAACAAGCAAATCTATAGTTTAAAATATTTGAGAGAAATGTAACTCATAAGTATTTGGGCAGGACAGTATGATTATATTTTTCATGTTGATGAAAAATTATGTTTTTGGCTAATATTACAGAATATCTGAAATGGTTTCATAATTTTTGTCTGATTTTAGCTACTATAATAGTAGCTTAAAAAAGTGATAAATTTTAAATTTTTTAATACTTACAGGGGTGCTAACCTGCCCAGCATCTCTCTCCTCAATAGGAAATACATAATGTTTGTGATGAGGCATATCGGTTTTCTTTCGCCCATCACATACTTAGTGCTCCTGAAGTATTTATTACAGAGTGAGGTAGAATTAGAAACAGCTCTATTTGGCAATATTATCCCCAATTCTAGATAATTTAAAACCACAGCACCAGGGGCCAAATGTACAATATTGTACAAGTATATAATTTAAAAAATATATAGTACTTTAAAATATTTATTGTGGGGAAATGAGAATATTAATCATAATTTAAAATCTTATTATATTGTACTATAGCTAAGCACTTTGACCTACTACCTTTTAATGTTAAAAATCCTGGGAAAATATCTCATAGGATAAGTTGGAAGAGTAAATGAATCACCATGGAGATTTATACTTTTGTTAAAGTAGCATTATGAGACATAAGACTTGAGTACACTGCCTCCAAGAACTCAATTTTTATTTGTTGTTCTACTCTATGTTTAATTGTACACAAGGAAATAAATGGAGCATTTTGCTGTCCCTAAAAAAGCCAATAAAGAAAACCAACCTACTGTAGAGTACAGGGGTGATTTTAGACATAGAATTCCACTTTCCAGATATATATTCTTATCTGTATAATTAGAAAGTTTAGAGGATCTGATGAAGCTCAACTGTCTGCTATTTTATATAATTGCTGGGTGCCAGCAATTATATAATGTACAATGATGATAATAGTGACACCTCTCATGTTTCTCAAAGGTTTCTCTTTACTTGTCAAGTAGGGAATCATATTTCCTGCCAATTGTGGGAGCATGAATGACCAAATAGCAAAGATGACTCTCTTGCACTTACTTATAGTGTAAGGTCATAATTACATTTGGTTATAAGTTTGTAGATGGCAAAACAATCCATTTGAAAATCCATTAACTTATAATCTAAGCTTTGGAAGTAGACAGGTGGCATTTCTCCAAGACACAATCCCTAATATTTTGTATAATTTACTTTTAACATGTCCTGCATTTCTGGGTTACACATCCCACATCTCTTTATCTTTCTGATATAAAGGGTGAATAAAAGGGGTACCTTCTACAATTACATCATATGGTCTTGAGATTTTGTGTATGTCAGTGAGGACTTAGTAAAAATACTAATTCTTTACAAATAATTTGTTGATATGAAGAAGCAATTTCCTTTTTAAAGTGTTTATTTTGAATTATGAAATATTTAAGGATAAAGTTCCCAAAGTTATGTAACATATGTCTGTAAGCACACAACCCTGATGAAAAAGATGTCAACATTTTGCTATCTCTGCTTCAAATTTCTATTTTAAAAGCCATGAAATGGTACAAATAAAGTTAATGCCCTCCTCATCTATTTGTCTTTCTCTCACTGGTATAACATCACTCACATGGTGTTGGTGTGAATCATTGCTATTAAGCTTTACGTTTTCACTACATAATTCATGTAACCAAAAACAGTATATATGATTTGCTTTAGCTATTTCAAAAATTTACATAAATGACATCCTTCTGTATACGTCCTTTTGCAAATTATTTTTTCATTCAACATTGTATTTTTAAGATTTATTCATGTTCATAAACATAGCTCTAATATCTGTTTCAACTGTTTTACAATATTTTATTGAATGAATAAACAATTTCCCAACTGGGGACCATTTGAATTGTTTCACTTTTTCTTTTTTTATAAACAGTGCTACATTAAACATCCTTATATATGCCTCATTTCTTACATGCTTCAGAGTTTCTCAAGGTTAGAAACATAGAAGAGAATTTGCTGGATCCTGAGTATGTACATCTTCTGTTGTGGGAAGTCAGGGACCCCGCACGGAGGGACCGGCTGGAGCCATGGCAGAGGAAAACAAATTGTGAAGATTTTATTTTAATATGGACATTTATCAGTTCCCAAATAATGCTTTTATAATTTCTTATGCCTGTCTTTACTTTAATCTCTTAATCCTGTTATCTTCATAAGCTGAGGATGTACGTCATCTCAGGACCACTGTGATAATGTGTTAACTGTACAAATTGATTGTGTAACATATGGGTTTGAACAATATGAAATCAGTGCACCTTAAAAAAGAACAGAATAACAGTGATTTTTAGGGAACAAGGGAAGACAACCATAAGGTCTGGCTGCCTGTGATGTTGGGCAAAAAAAGCCATATTTTTCTTCTTGCAGAGAGCCTATAAACAGATGTGCAAGTAGGAGAGATATCACTAAATTCTTTTCCTAGCAAGAAATATTAATATCCTGGGAAAGGAATGCATTCCTGGGGGGAGGTCTATAAACGGCCGCTCTGGGAGTGTCTGTCCTATGCACTTGAGATAAGGACTGAGATACGCCCTGGTCTCCTGCAGTACCCTCAGGCTTATTAGTATGGGGAAAAACTCTGCCCTGGTAAATTTGTGGTTAGACCTGTTCTCTGATCTTGAACCCTGTTTTCTGTTGTTTAAGATGTTTATCAAGACAATACGTGCACAGCTGAACATAGACCCTTATCAGTAGTTCTGTTTTGCCTTTTGTCCTGTTCCCTCATAAACATGCGACCTTTGTTCGCTTTTTGCCCTTTGAAGCATGTGATTTTTATACCTACTCCCTGTTCTTCCACCCCCTCCCCTTTTGAAATCCTTAATAAAAACTTGCTGGTCTGAGACTCAGGTGGGCATCACGGTCCTACCGATATGTGATGTCACCCCTGGTGGCCCAGATGTAAAATTCCTCTCTTTGTACTCTTTCTCTTTATTTCTCAGCCAGCTGACACTTATGGCAAATAGGAAAAACCTACATTGAAATATTGGGGGCGGGTTCCCCTGATAACCTTCCACTTCAGCATTGAGTGGGTGTAATAGGAGATGCTCAAGGGGATCCATTGCATGGATCCAAACAATGGATCCAAATATACTCCTCCCTGCCCCATTTTGGAGCTGCAACTCTATTTTCCCTTTTAAAGACCAGTCATTCCAGACCTAGAGTCATATGGACCACACAGGACCAAAGTGGGTGGCCTTCTGTGTCACTCTGAGGGATATCAGGATCAACTAGTCACAGCCAAATATTCTTGTAGTTCAAATCCTCCTGATTACCATGCTGGCCCAACTGCCTTGTATACATATGTCTGCCTATATGTCTGCCTTACCTCTGGTAATTAAGTGCAACCTCTCCTATCTTTATTCCCAGAGTGCAGTCACTACTCTAGGGCTTTTCAAGAATGCTAATGTTCCCCAGGCCAAAGTAACTTTCAATGTTTTGGTGAAGACAGTGTTCTCCAAACCCTTTCAGGGTACCTAATTAGACATGAGTAAACTGGTTGCACGTGGTAAATCCACTCCAACATTTGTATCTTTTAAATTCCCTCTTCTACATAATACCCAAAATCCTGTCATCTCAACTTCATTCAGCATAGGCCATTATTGAACCCAGGTGTTAGTAATTCAACTGAAGTGGCAGCCCTAGAGCTGTGCTGCTCAGATTTTCCTTCAAGAATTTGCTGAGGATTCTACTTCTAGAATGGTGGCAAAAGTAGCTCCATGAACCCACTCCCCAGAAAAACAACCGAAAGTGAAGAAAATTATATATATTACATATGACCTAATGTCTTCTAAAATTGTCCTAAGGGCATATAGTAAATGAAGTAATATTTATTCATTGAAATCTACTAAATCTCCATAAAGACAGATAGTTTAGCAGAAAGAACAGCATAAGAAACAACTAACAAGAGCTCTTCTAGAATCAGAACAAATCTCAGAGACTGGCTTTAAAAAGTGCCCATAAAAAAAGAACCAAATTTAATTGAAAGAGATTGTAGAGCAATGAGTGTCCCAGAGAATTTGTCCAAAACAGTAGAGCAACCAACAAAATTAATGGAATCTAGTAGCTGGTTTTGGCATCAATGGGAGCAGACACTCTAACAGAGTTCAGAGAAGAGATAGTAATAAAGAATCCTGCCAAAACTACAATCACCTCAGGATGACTAGAGAGCTTCAATAGCAGATTTAAGCCAGCAAAAGAAAGAATCGGTGAACTTGAAGATACATCAACTGAGGTTATCCAGTATGAGAAACAGAAAGAAAAAAATAATGAAGAAAAATAAGCAAAGCCTAGAGTAATGTAGAGGACCATTAAACACACCAACATACTAATAATGGGAGTAACAGAAGGTGAGGAGAGGAAGGTGCAGAAATACATTCAAAGAAATTATGGCTGAATTCCCTTTGAAAACCAGCACAAGACAAGGATGCCCTCTCTCACCACTCCTATTCAACATATGGTATTGGAAGTTCTGGCCAGGGCAATCAGGCAAGAGAAAGAAATAAACGGCATTTGATTAGGAAAAGAGGAAGTCAAGTTGTCTCTGTTTGCAGATGACATGATTGTATATTTAGAAAACCCCATCGTCTTAGCCCAAACTCCTTAAGCTGATGAGCAACTTCAGCAAAGTCTCAGGATACAAAATCAATGTGCAAAAATTACAAGCATTCCTATACACCAATACCAGACAAACAGAACCAAATCATGAGTGAACTCCCATTCACAATTGCTACAAAAAGAATAAAATACCTAGGAATCCAACTTACAAGGGATGTGAAGAACCTCTTCAAGAAAAACTACAAACCACTGCTCAAGGAAATAAAAGAGGACAGAAACAAATGGAAGAACATTCCATGCTCATGGATGGGAAGAATCAATATCGTGAAAATGGTCATACTGCCCAAAGTAATTTATAGATTCAATGCTATCCCCATAAAGCTACCTCTGAGTTTCTTCACAAAATTGGAAAAAAACTACTTTAAATTTCATATGGAACCAAAAAAAGAGCCCGCATAGCCAAGACAATCCTAAGCAAAAAGAACAAAGCTGGAGGCATCACGCTACCTGATTTCAAACTATACTACAAGGCTACAGTAACCAAAACAGCATGGTACTGGTACCAAAACAGATATATAGGCCAATGTAACAGAACAGAGGCCTCAGAAATAACACCACACATCTACAACCATCTGATCATTGACAAACCTGACAAGAACAAGCAATGGGGAAAGGAATCCCTATTTAATAAAAGGTGCTGGGAAAACTGGCTAGCCAGATGCAGAAAGCTAAAACTGGATCCCTTCCTTACACCTTATCCAAAAATTAACTCAAGATGGATTAAAGACTTAAACGTAAGACCTAAAACCATAAAAACCCTAGAAGAAAACCTAGGCAATACTGTTCAGGACATGGGGATGGGCAAAGACTTCATGACTAAAACACCAAAAGCAATGGCAACAAAAGCCAAAATAGACAGATGGGATTTAATTAAACTACAGAGCTTCTCCACAGCAAAAGAAACTATCAGCAGAGTGAACAGGCAACCTACAGAATGGGAGAAAATTTTTGCAATCTATCCATCTGACAAAGGGCTAATATCCAGAATCTACAAAGAACTTAAACAAATTTACAAGAAACAAACAAACAACCCCATCAAAAAATGAGCAAAGGATATGAACAGACACTTTTCAAAATAAGACATTTATGCAGCCAACAGATTTATGAAAAAATGCTCATCATCACTGGTCATTAGAGAAATGCAAATCAAAACCACAATGAGATGCCATGTCATGCCAGTTAGAATGATGATCATTAAAAAGTCAGGAAACAACAGATGCTGGAGAGGATGTGGAGAAATAGGAACATGTTTACCCTGTTGATGGGAGTGTAAATTAGTTCAACCATTGTGGAAGACAGTGTGGTGATTCCTGAAGGATCTAGAACTAGAAATACCATTTGACCCAGCAATCCCATTACTGGGTATATACCCAAAGGATTATAAATCATTATGCTATAAAGACACATGCACACATATGTTTATTGCAGCACTGTTCATAATAGCAAAGTCTTGGAACCAGTCCAAATACCCATCAATGATAGAGTGGATAAAGAAAATGTGGCACATATACACCATGGAATACTATGAAGCCGTAAAAAAGGACGCATTCGTGTCCTTTGCAGGGACACAGATGAAACTGGAAACCATCATTCTCAGCAAAGTAACACAGGAGGAGAAAACCAAACACGTGTTCTCACTCATGGGTGGGAGCTGAACAATGAGAACACATGGACACAGGGAGGGGAACATCACACACTGGGGCCTGTATGGGAGTGGGGGGTCTAGGGGAGGGATAGCATTAGGAGAAATACCTAATGTAAATGACAAGTTGATGGGTGCAGCAGACCAACATGGCACTATGTAACAAACCTGCGCATTGTGCACATGCACCCCAGAACTTAAAGTATAATAATAATAATAATAATGAAAGAAATCATGGCTGAAAACTTTTCAAATTTGACAAAAAACATTAATCTGCACACATCCAGGGAGCTCAAAAAACTCTAAGCAGTATAAACACAAAGAGGTCCACAATCAGACATACCACAGTACAAATGTTAAAAGACAGAAAAAGTCTTAAAATCTGCAAGAGAAAATTGACTCTTCATATACAAGGGAGTCCCAATAAGCTTAACAGGTGATTTGTTATCAGAAACAGTGGAGGCCAGAGAGAATGGGATAACTAAACGAAAGTGCTGACAGACCAAACAAATGAAAACCCACAAACCCACAAAAACTGGGAATCTTATATCCAGCAAATATACCTCTGAAAACTGAAGGTAACATTCACAGATTTAAAAAAGCAGTGAAAAAATTAATTGCTACCAGGACTGAAGGAAGTTCTTCACGCTGAAAGCAAGCAATTTCAGATACCAATTTAATTTCCTTTGGATATACACCCAGTAGTGAGATTGCTGTATCATATGGTAGCTTAATTTTTAATTTTTCAAGAAGCCTCCATATTGTTTGTCATAATGAGAGGTGACAGTGTGCTGGCAGCCCTCACAGCCCTCGCTCGCTATGAGCACCTCCTCTGCCTGGGCTCCCACTTTGGTGGCACTTGAGGAGCCCTTCAGCCCGCCGCTGCACTTTGGGAGCCCCTTCCTGGGCTGGCTGAGGCCGGAGCTGGCTCCCTCAGCTTGTGGGGAGGTGTGGAGGGAGAGGTGCGGGTGGGAACCCGGGCTGCACCTGGTGCTCGCGGGCCAGCACGAGTTCCGGGTGGGTGTGGGCTCGGCGGGCCCCACACTCCGAGCCGCCAGCCAACCCTCCCAGCCCTGGGCAATGAGGAGCTTAGCACCTGGGCCAGTGGCTGCAGAGGGTGTGCTGGGTCCCCCAACAGTGCCGGCCCACCGGCGCTGCACTTGATTTCTCACTGGGCCTTAGCCGCCTCCCTGTGGGGCAGGGCTCGGGACCTGCAGCCTGCCATGCCTGAGCCTCCCCAACCCTCCGTGGGCTCCTGTGTGGCCCGAGCCTCCCCGACGAACGCCGCCCCCTGCTCCACCCTGGCGCCCAGTCCCATCGACCACTCAAGGGCTGAGGAGTGTGGGCAAACGGCGCCGGACTGGCAGGCAGCTCCACCTGTGGCTCCCGGTATGGGATCCACTAGGTAAAGCCAGCTGAGCTCCTGACTGGTGGGGACTTGGAGAACCTTTATGTCTAGCTAAGGGATTGTAAATACACCAATCGGCACTCAGTATCTAGCTCAAGGTTTGTAAACACACCAATCAGCACCCTGTGTCTAGCTCAGGGTTTGTGAATGCACCAATCAACACTCTGTATCTAGCTACTCTGGTGGGGACTTGAAGAACCTTTGTGTTGACACTCTGTATCTAGCTAATCTAGTGGGGATGTGGAGAACCTTTGTGTCTAGCTCAGGGATTGTAAACGCACCAATCAGCACCCTGTCAAAACAGAGGGCTGGGCTCTCTGTAAAATGGACCAATCAGCAGGATGTGGGTGGGGCCAGATAAGAGAATAAAAGCAGGCTGCCCGAGCTAGCAGTGGCAACCTGCTCAGGTCCCCTTCCACACTGTGGAAGCTTTGTTCTTTTGCTCTTTGCAATAAATCTTGCTGCTGCTCACTCTTTGGGTCCATACTGCCTTTATGAGCTGTAACACCGCGAAAGTCCGCAGCTTCACTCTTGAGCCAGCGAGACCACGAATCCACCAGAAGGAAGAAACTCCGAACACATCCAAACATCAGAAGGAACAAACTCCGGATATGCTGCCTTTAAGAACTGTAACACTCACCGCGAGGGTCTGCGGCTTCATTCTTGAAGTCAGTGAGACCAAGAACCCACCAATTCTGGACACAATAATGGCTATAGCAATTTACATTCCCACCAATAGTGTATGAGGGTTCCCTTTTCTCCACATCCTGGCCAACACTTAACCTTTTGTGGTTTTGATAATAGTCATTCGGACACGTATGAAGTGATGTCTCCTTGTGATTTTGATTTGCATTGCCCTGCTGGCCATTTATATGTCTTCATTTAGGAAATGTCTATCAAGTTTTTTGCCTATTGCTATGGTTTGAATGCTGGTGTCACCTCCAAAACTCATGTCAAAACTTAATCTCCAGTGGAACAATATTAAAAGTGGGGCCTTTAGGAGGTTTTTAAGTCATAAGGGCAGAACCTTCCTTAATGGAATTGGTAACCTCATAAAAGGGGTGAGGGGGACTAGCTTACTCACTTTGCCCCTTTTATAAAATCTTTCTGCCATGTAAGGACACAGCATTTGTCCCTTTTGGAGGATGCAGTGACAAGGGTTTTCTTGGTAACTGAGAGCAGCACTTACCAGACACTGAATGTCAGCACCTTAAGCTTGGACTTCCAAGCATCCGGAAGTGTAAGAAATTAATTTCTATTGTGTATAAATTACCTAGTCTCAAGTATGTCACAGGATCACAAAAAATCTAAGAAACCAATTTTTAAATTGGGTCATTTGTTTCCTTGCTATTTAGTCATTTGAGTTCCTTTTTCTGATTTTTAAAAAAAATTATTTTAGGTTTAAAAGTGCATGTGCAGGTTTGTTATATAGGTAAACTCATGCCATGGTGGTTTGATACTAAGATTATTTCATCACCCAGATACTAAGCCTAGTACCAAATAGTTATGTTTTCTGCTCCTCTCCCCAGTCCCACCCTCCAACCTCAGTGTGTGTTGTTCCCCTCTATGTGTCCATGTGTTCTCATCATTTAGCTCCCACTTCTAAGTGAGAACATGCGACATTTGTTTTTCTATTCCTGTGTTACTTTGCTAGCGACAATGACCTCCAGCTCCATCCATGTTCTTGCAAAGAACATAATCTTGTTCTTTCTATGGCTGCATAGTATTCCATGGTGTATATGTACCACATTTTTGTTATCCAGTCTACCACTGATGGGCATTTACATTGATTCCATGTCTTTGCTATTGTGAATAGTGCTGCAATGAACATATGCATGCATTTTTTTATAATAGAAGGATTTATATTCCTTTGGGTATATACCCAGTAACGGGATTGCTGGTCGATTGGTAGTTCTGTCCTTAGGTCTTTGAGGAATTTGCCACACTGGTTGAACTAATTTACACTCTCACCAATAGTATATAAACATTCCGTTTTTCTCCACAATCTCACCAGCACTTGTTATTTTTTGACTTCTCATAATAGCCATTCTGACTGGTAAGAGATGATATCTCATTGTGGTTTTGATTTGCATTTCTCTAGTGATCAATAATATTGACCTTTTTTTTCATATGCTTGCTTGCCACATGTACGTCTGCTTTCAAAAAGTGTCTGTTTATGTCCTCTGCCCATTTTTTAATGGGGTTGTTTGTTTTTCTTTGGTAAATTTGTTTAAGTTCCTTATTATAGTTGCTGGATATTAGACCTTTCTCAGATATATAATTTGCAAATATTTTCTCCCATTCTATATATTGTCTCTTCACTCTGTTGGTAGTTTCTTTTGCTTTGCAGAAGCTCTTAAGTTTAATTAGATCTCATTTGTCAATTTTTGCTTTGTTGCAATTGCTTTTGGTGTCTTTGTCATGAAATATATCAAGTTCCTATGTCCAGAATGATATTGCCTATGTTGTCTGCCAGGGTTTTCATAATTTGAGGTTTTAAATTTAAGTCTTTAATCCATCTGGAGTTGATTTTTGTATATGGTATAAGGAAGGGGTCCAGTTTCAATCTTCTGCATATGGCTATCCAATTATCCCAGCACCATTTATTGAACTGGGAGTCCTTTCCCCATTGATTGTTTTTGTCAACCTTGTCAAAGATCAGATGATTGTAGTATTTGGCTTTATTTATGGGTTCTGTAACCCATTCCATTGGTCTACATGTCTATTTTTGTACCAGTACCATGCTGTTTTGGTTACTGTAGCCTTGTAGTGTAGTTCAAAGTCAGGTAGTATGATGCTCTTGGCTTGTTCTTTTGCTTAGTATTGCCTTGGCTATTTAGGATCTTTTTTGTTTCCATATGTATTTTAGAATAGTTTTTTTTTCTAATTCTGTGAAAAATGTAATTGGTAGTTTGGTAGGAGTAACACTGAATCTGTCAATTGCTTGGGGCAGTGTCCATTTTAACAATATTGATTCTTCCTATCCTTGAACATGGAATGTTTTTCCATTTGTTTGTGTCATCTCTGATTTCTTTTAGCAGTGTTTAGTAATTTTCTTTGTAGACATCTTTCTCCTTCCTGGTTAGCTGTATTCCTAGGTATTTTATTCTTTTTGTGGCAACTGTCAATTGGATTGTTTTCCTTATCTGGCTGTCAGCTTGGTTGTTATTTGTATATAGAAATGCTAATGAATTTTGTATGTTGATCTTGTATTCAGAAATTTTGCTGAGGTTGTTTATCAGATTAAGGAACTTTTGGGCTGAGACTATGGGATTTTCTAGATAGAGAATCATGTTGTCTGCCAACAGGGATAGTTTGGCTTTCAGTCTTCCTATTTGGATGCCTTTTATTTTTTTCTCTTGCCTGATTGCTCTGGCCAGGACTTTCAATACTATGCTGAGTGGGAGCAGTGAAAGGGGCCATTCTTGTCTTGTTCTGATTTTCAAGGGGAATGCTTCCAGCTTTTGACCATTCAGTATGGTGTTGGTTGTGGGTTTGTCATAGATGGCCCTTATTATTTTGAGGTATATTCCTTCAATACCTAGTTTGTTTAGAGTTTGTAACATGAAAGAATGTTGAATTTTATCAGAAGCCTTTTCTGCATCTACCAAGATGATCATGTGGTTTTCTGTCTTCAGTTCTGTTTATGTGATGAATCGCATTTATTGGTTTGCGTATGTTGAACCAAACTTGCATCCTGGGAACAAAGCCTACTTGATCATGGTGGATTAGCTTTTCGATGTGTTGCTGAATTCAGTCTTCTAGTACTTTAATGAGAAATTTTGCAACAATGTCCATCAAGGATATTGGCCTGACATTTTCTTTTGTTGTTGTCTCTCTGCCAGGTGTTGGTATCAGGATAATACTGGTCTCATAGAATGAGTTAGGGAGGAGTTCTTCCTTTTCAATTTTTTAGAATAGTTTCAGTAGTAATGATACCAGCTCTTCTTTGTACACCTGGTAGAATTTGGCTGTGAATCCACCTGGGCTAGAGCTTTTTTCAGTTGTAGGTTATTTATTACTGATTCAATTTTGGAGCTCATTATTGGTCTGTTCAGAGATTCAGTTTCTTCCTGTTTCAGTCTCGGGAGGGTGTATGAGTCCAGGAATTTATCCATATCTTCTAGATTTTCTAGTTTATGTGCATAGAGGTGTTCATAATAGTCTTTGGTGGTTATTTGTGTTTCTTTGGGACATCCTTTCTCTTCCCTTTATTATATTTATTTGGATCTTCTCTCCTTCTTAGTAGTCTAGCTAGTGGTCTATCTATTTTATTAACTTCTTCAAAAAACAAGATCCTGGCTTCATTGATCTTTTGAATGGTTTTTTTTTGTGTCTCAATCTCCTTCAGTTCAACTCTGATTTTGATCAATTCTTGTCCTCTGCTAGCTTTGGGGTTGGTTTGCTCTTGAGTCTCTTGTTCTTTTGGATGTAGTGTTAGTTTGTTAATTTGACATCTTTCCAGCTTTTTGATGTGGACATTTAGGGTTATAAATTTCCCTCTTAACCCTGCCTTAGCTGTGTTCCAGGGATTCTGGCTTGTTGTATCTTTATTCTCATTAGTTTCAAAGAACTTTTTGATTTCTGCCTTAATTTCATTATTTGCCTAGAAGTCACTGAGAAGATGGTTGTTTAATTTCCATGTAAATGTATGGTTTTGAGCAATTTTCTTCATATTGAATTCTATTTTTATTGTGTTGTGGTCCAATTGTGTTGATGTTATTTTTGTTTTCTTGAATTTGCTGAGAATTGTTTTATGTCTAATTATGTGACTAATTTTAGACTGTGCGCCATGTGCAGATGAGAAGAATGTGTATTCTTTTGTTTTTGGATGGATAGTTCTGTAGATATGTATCAAATTCATTTGGTCCTGTGTCGCGTTCAGGTCCTAAATATCTTTGTAAATTTTCTGCTTGGGTGATCTGACTAGTACTTACGGTTGGGTGTTGACGACTCCCACTATTATATGTGGGAGTCTAAGTCTCTTTGAAGGTCTCAAAGAACTTGCTTTATGAATCTGGATGCTCCTGTGTTCAGTGCATATATATATATAGGATAGGTAGGTCCTCTTGTTGAACTGAGCCCCTTACCCTTATGTAATGCCCTTCTCTCTCTCTCTTTCTCTCTCTCTCTCTCTCTCTCTCTCTGTGTGTGTGTGTGTGTGTGTGTGTGTTAATCTTTGTTGGTTTAAAGTCTGTTTTGTCTGAAATTATGATTGTAACATCTGCTTTTCTCTTGTTTTCCACTTGCTTGGTACATTTTTCTTCATCCCTTTATTTTGAGCCTGTAGGTGTCACTGTATATGAGATGGGTCTCTCAAAGACAGCATACCACTGGGAATTGGGTCTTGCTTTTTTATCCAACTTGCCACTCTGTGCCTTTTAATTGAGACATTTAGCCCATCTGTATTCTAGGTTAGTATTGATGTGTGTGGATTTGATCCTGTTGTATCATTAGCTGTTTATTAGGCTGACTTGTTTGTGTGGCTGCTTTAAAGTGTCACTAGTCTGTGTACTTAATGTTTTTTGTGGTGGCTGGTAATGGTGTTTTCTTTCCATATTTAGTGCTTCTTTCAGGAGCTCTTGTAAGGCAGGTCTGGTTGTAATGAATTCCCTCAGCATTTGCTTGTCTGAAAAGGATCTTATTTCTCCTTTGCTTACAAAACTTAGTTTAGCTGGATCTGAAATTCTTGGTCGGAATTTCTTTTGTTTAAGAATGTTGAATATAGGCCTACAATCTCTTCTGGCTTATAGGGTTTCTGTTGAGAGGTCCACTCTTAGTCTGTTGAGCTTTCCTTTGTGGTGATCTGTACCTTCTAACTGCCTTTAACATTTTTTATTTCATTTCAACCTTGGAAAATCTTATGATTATGTGTCTTTGGGATGATCTTCTTGTGAATTAATTTGCAGGGTTTTTCTGCATTTCCTGAATTTAAATGTTGGCCTCTCTAGCTAGGTTGGGGAAGTTCTCATGAATGATATCCTGAAATATGTTTTCCAAGTTGTTTCCATTCTCCCCATCTCTTTCAGGGACACCAATGAGTCATAGGTTCAGTCTCTGTACATAATCCCATATTCTTTGCAGTTGTTGTTTGTTCTCTTCATTCTTTTAAAATTTGTTCTTGTCTGATGCCTTATTTCAGAATGCCAGTCTTCAAGCTTGAGATTCTTTCCTCAGGCGATCTATTCTGCTGTTAATACTTGTGATTTCATTAGGAAACTTTTGTAGTGTGTTTTTCAGCTTTTTTAGATTGGTTACATGCTTTTCCATACTAATTGTTTTTTCTGCCAGCTCCTATATTGTTTTATTGTGATTCTTAGCTTCTGATATGGTTTGGCTGTGTCCCCACCAAAATCTCATCTTTAATTGTAGCTCCCATAATCCACACGTGTCATGGGAGGGACCCAGCGGGAGGTAATTGAATCATGGTGGTGGGTTTTTCCCATGCTGTTCTCATGATAGTGAATAAGTCTCATGAGATCTGATGGTTCATAAAATGCAGTTCCCCTGCACACACTCTCTTGCCTGCCACCATATAAGATGTGATGTGCCTTTGCTCCTCCTTCACCTTCTGCCATGATTGTGAGGCCTTCCCAGCCATGTAAAACTGTGAGTTCATTAAACCTCTTTTTCTTTACAAATTACCCAGTCTCAGGTGAGTATTAGCAGTGTGAGAACAGACTCATACAGCTTTTTGGATTGGGTTTCATTGTACGCCTGAATCTTGATGATCTTCCTGTCTATTCATATTCTGAATTCCATTTCTATAATTTCAACCATCTCAGCCCAGTTAAGAACTCTTGCTGGAGGACCAGTGTGAAAATTTGGAGAAAATAAGACATTCTGGCTTTTTTAATTGTCAGAGTTTTTGCACTGGTTCTTTCTCATCTTTGTGGGCTGAGTTCCTTCAATCTTTGAAGTTGCTCTTTTGGATTTTTTTTTCTTTTATCCCATTGGATAATGTTGAGTGTTTGATTGATATATAAAATGGGTTCAGTTGATTGGCTTCATTACTGAAAGCTTTAGGATACCAAGGCTCAGCTCAGGACTCCTGAACTGCATGTTCTAACTTGGGGGAATAGTATCAGGCCCCATCTTTGATCTCTGGGTCCTCAAGGTTAGGAATCTGCTGTGCTGGAGGGGCTGAGGTACTCCTGGACTGCTGGTCATAGCACCCCAATTGGTGGTGCCAGCCAAAGCACTTCATAGGGCAGTGACAGTGGGATCCATCCTCACTCACATGTGCCAGTGGCAGTGGCAGTGCAGAAGGTTTCATGTTTGTCAGCTGAAGCAGGGTTCTAGCAGGTGCAGGGGTGTTGGCCTCCCTGTGGGTGTTCACAGCAGCAGTGGTGACAGTATGGCACAAGGGATCAGGGGTTCTCACTGGTGACTGTGTGTACATTCACACTGATGGTGATGTTAGCATGGGGACAGGGTGCTGGTGGGCACAGGACTGTGTGTGCCTTTTGTGCATATTCACACTGATGGCAGTACTGAGTTCTTTGTATGTTTTAGCTATTAACCCCTTATGAGATATATGTTTTATAAATATTTTTCTTCCTTCCCAGAGGTTGCATTGTTGCTTTGTTAATTGTTTCCTTTGAGTGCAGAAATTTTTTATTTTAATGTAATGTCGTTTGCATTTTTTTTGTTTTGTTTTTATTGCCTGTGCTTTGGGGTCATATCAAAAAGATCATTGCCCAGACCAATGTCATTAAGCTTTCACGCTAGGTTTTCTTCTAGTAGTTTTATGTGTTTTTGTATTTTACATTTAAATCTTTAATCCATTTTGAGTTTATTTTTGTATGTGGTGTGAGATAAGGGTCCAATTTTATTCTTTTGCATGTGGATATCCAATTTTTCCCAGCACCATTTAGTGAATAGACTATTATTTTCTCATTGTGCATTCCTGGCAATATTGCTGAAGATCAATTGATCAAAAATGTGTGGGTTTATTTCTGGAGTCTCTGTTCTATTGGTCTATATGTCCGTCTTCATGCTGGTACTATGCTGTTTTATTTACTGTAGCTTTGTAATATATTTTGAAATCAGAAGGTGGGATGCCTTCAGCTTTGTTCTTTTTTCTCAAAATAAAAAATTCTTTTGAATTCAGGGTCCTTTGTTTATTTTATATTTGTAAAAAATGACAGTGGAATTTTGTTAGGGATTTTGCTGAATCTTTAGGTCACTTTAGGTAGTTATAGACATTTAAACAATGTTAAGACTTCAAATTTATGAACGTAGGATGTGTTTTTATTTGTATCTTCTTTAATTTCTTTAATATTTTATGTTTCAAGGTTTATGTGTTTCACCTTAAATTTATTTCTATGTATTTGATTCTTTTTGATGCTGTTGTAAATATGCATTTTCTTAACTTTGTTTTTAAATACTTTATTATTAGGATACAGAACACAAATAATTTTTGTTTTTTATATATTGAATCATCATTGTATCCCAGGGATAAATCCCACTTGATCATGGTGAATGGTGCTTTTAATGTGTTGTTGAATTGGTTTTCTCATATTTCATTGAAGATTTTTACATCTGTGTTCATCAGGGATATTAGCCTGTAGTTTGCTTTCCTTCTAGTGTCATTGTCTGTCTTTGATTGGTATCAGAGTAATGCTGTCTTCATAAAATAAATTTGGAAGTGTTCTCTCCACTTCAAGCTTTTATAGTGGTTTAAGAATAATTAATGGTAGTTTCTTTTGAGATAATTTATGAAATTTACCATTGAAGCCATCTAGTTCTGAGATTTTCTTTGTTGGTTTTTGATGACTTATTCAATCTCCTTACTGATAAATTATAGGTCTGTTCAGATTTTCTATTTCTTCATGATTCTGTCTTAGTAGGTAATATGTTTCTAAAAATGTATATTCATTTCCTCTAGGTTACCTTGTTACCAGATTAAAAATCGGCCATTATAAGTATAAAATATTTTATGTAAGCCCCATGGCAGCAACAAAGAAAATACTTATAGAACATACACAAAATATCAGAAAGGAATCAAAGTATTTTAATGCAAAAAATTAACAGAAACACAAAGGAAGACAGCAAGAGAGGGAAAGAGGGACAAAATAACTACAAGACAGACAAAGCAATGAACAAATTGGCAATAGTAAGTCCTTCTCTATCATTCATTGCTTTAAATATAAATGGATTAAACTCATCAAATACATAAAGTGGCTGAATGGATTAAAAAAGACATTTTATAATAATAATAATATCAATTCACCAGGAAGATATAACAATTATATGTATAGATGACCCCAACATCATTGCATCTAAATATGTAAAGCAAACATTGATTGGTAGAACTGAAGGGAGATATAGAAAGCAGTACAATAACAGTAGGAGACTTCAATATCTCACTTTCAAGATATGCAAGATTATATTTGTGGATATGCAAGAGTGTATTTGTGGAATTATGTTTGTGGAAATATGTGGAATTTAAACATATTTCAATTTTCTATGAAATATGTTTTCATATTCCCATATTCATATTCATATTTTCATATTCATACTCCTTATTGATGTCATTGGAATTGAATAATACTATAGGAGTCATTGGAATTGAATAATACTATAGACTAAATGGGCTTAGTAGTCATATATCAAACATTCCACTTGACAGCAGCAGAATACATATTTTTCTAGGTGCTCATGGAACATTCTATGGAATAGATCACATATTAGGTCACAAAACAAGTCCTTAAAAGTTTAAGAAGACTGAAGTCAGACCATGTATTTTTTTCTGACTACAATAGAATGAAACTGGAAATCAATAGTGGAAGAAAAAGAAGAAAATTGAAATATGTTTAAATTCCACATATTTCCACAAATATAATTTCACATATATACTCTTGCATATCCAATGAGTCAAAGAAAAAATTAAAAGAGAAATTAGATCATATCTTGAGACAAATGAAAACATAAACACAACATATCAAAACTTATTGGATGCAGCAAAAGTAGTACTAAGAGGGACGTTTATAGCAATAAACACCTACATTTATAAATAAGATCTCAACCAAACTTTATACCTCAAGAAACTATAAAAAGAAAAATAATCTAAGCCCAAAATTAGCAGAAGGAGGAAATAATAAAGATCAGAGCAGAAATAAATAAAATAGAGAATAGAAAAACATTAAACTATAAGCTGTTTTTTAAAAATATAAGTCAGTTGACAAACCTTTAACAGAATGAAGAAAAAAGAGAAATTTCAAATAAAATCAGAATTGAAAGAGCAGACATTACAACTGATGTCACAGAAATATAAAGGATCATAAAAAACTACTATGAACAATTGTTTTATGTTTTAATCTTAACTAATTTGTTTCAGTTTCCTTAGGTTTATTTTGCAGTTTTTTTTAGTGTAAGTATTTTAGGGTGTATACATTTTTTTTCTGGCCTTTCAAAGGTGTAGATCAGATACTGGACAGTGTTAACTCAAATAAAATATTTTCTCCTTTCCCTTCAAGTAAATAGTCAGCTAGCTAACATCATTTGTAAATGCAGCAATGGTTTTCTTCCAAGACAAATGTTAAAATGAAGATATGTTATTTAGGTGGTACACCCATTACACCAGTAGCCACAAGTAGCCCAAATAAATGCATTCCTTTATTATATTAGCTTTAGAGATAAATATCTTGAAGAAACAGATTACTTGGCAATTGCATTGTGACAGAGGTGCAGTAAAAAGCAGTGGTAAAATCTAGGCTCTGTTGTCAGGTTATCTGGTACTAATTTTGGCTCTCACATTTATTTTTCTGTGCAACTCTGGGCGAGTTAATTGACTTCACTAAGTCTCAGTTTTCTCATTTGTAAAATGTTTTTAGTATTGAATGAAGTAAGTCATTAAAGCACTTTGCACAGTATCTGGCACAAAGTAAATATTTAATTAATCTATTATTACAATATCCCAAGGAAACGAAAATTTCCAGACAATCTGGAGAGGACTCGCCAGCATTCAGAAATAGCTGGGAGACACTTGGGGAGAATGTGCCATGGGTAAAGACATTCTCTGACCCTTCTTCTCCTGGCTCAGTGATAGGTTAGGCTTCTTTCTTATATGTAGTCCTGATACTCCCATTTGTTCTCTTAATATTCCTCACATTTTAAACTAATTAATCCTCTCTCTTCTTGGCTACATTTTAAATTCTATGAGGCCAAAGGTCATATGTATCATACTGACCTCTCTATCCCTGGCATCTATAATAGTATGGATAATCAATAAATATTTCTGAAATATTCAATGAATGAATGGGTGAATAAACCTTGAATGCTTCAACCACTTCACATTTTTAATTAAACTATTTATTTTGAGGTAATTATCGATTCACATACAGTTGTAAGAAATTATAGAGAAATTCCCTTATACCTTTTACTCAGAGTCCTCAATGATATTATCTTACAAAACTGTAGCACAATATCACAACTGAGATACTTGGCCTTGAAATCTTGAAGTGCAGTGTCGGCTAGGTATATTAGAATCAAAATGTCTCTTTTACCTCTAGCAAATTCTGAGCAGCGTTTTTCAGGTTTGCACACCTGGAGCTACAAGGCCAGGACCCAGGTCTGTATGCTGAACTGGCTGACCACCATGCTCTTTGCATGCCCAGGGTCGAATATTGAGAGGTAGCATTGATTTCTTCTAATACATTTGAAGGCTTTCAAAGGACTTAATAGGAAAGATCTTTTTAATGTGACTGATATTTTAAAATATGTGTTCTCTTTTTTTTTCAGGGCTTCCCGTAGTAGTCAGATATATTGGCCTGAAGTGAAAGAAAGGGATTTAGTTTCAATGTTCTGCATATGGCAGATCAGTTATCTCAGCACCATTTATTGACTCCCAGCACAATAGGGAGTATTTTCCCCATTGTTTGCTATTGTCAACTTTGTCAAAGATCAGGTGGTTGTAGGTATTTGGCTTTATTTCTGGGTTCTCTATTCTGTTCCATTGGTACATGTGTCTCTTTTTGTATTAGTACCATGCTGTTTTTGTCATTTTGGTTATTGTAGCTTCATAGTACAGTTTAAAGTTGGGTAGTGTGATGCCTTTAGGTTTGTTCTTCTTGCTTAGATTGCTTTGGCTATTTGGGCTCTTTTTTGATTTCATATGAATTTTAGAATAGATTTTTCTAGTTCTGTGAAAAAATAATATTGGAAGTTTGATAGGAATAGCATTGTATCTGTCAGTTGCTTTGGGCAGTATGGCCATTTAAACAATATTGATTCTTCCTATCTATGAGCATGGAATGTTTTTCTATTTTTTTGTGTGTCATCTGATTTCTTTGAGCAGTGTTTTGCAATTCTCATTGTAGAGATCTTTCACCTCCTTGGTAAGCTGTAGTCCTAGGTATTTTATCCTTTGTGGCTGTTTTTTGTAGGATTGTGTACTTGATTTGGCTCTGACCTTGGATGTTATTGGAATATAGAAATGTAATAATTTTTGTACATTGATTTATATCTTGAAACTTTACTGAAGTCATTTATGAGTTCTAGAAGCCTTCTGGCAGAGTCTTCAGGATTTTCTAGGTAAAGAAGCCTATTGTTCATGAAGAAAGATAGTTTGACTTCCTCTTTTCCTATCTGGATGCTTTTTTCTTTCCTTCTCTTGCCAGGTTGCTCAGGCTAGGCCTTCCAGTATTACATTGAATAACAGTGGTGAGATTAGGCATTTTTTTTTGTTCCAGTTCTCAGGGGGACTGCTTCCAGCTTTTGCCTGTTCAGTATGATGTTAGCTGCAGGTTTGTCATATATGCCTCTTATTATTTTGAGGTATGTTCTTTCAATGCTTAATTTGTTGAGTGTTTTTAACATGAAGAGATGTTGAATTTTATCAGAGGCCTCTCCTGCATCCATTGAGATGATCATGTGATTATTAATAAAATTTTGTTTATGTAGTGAAACTCATTTATTTATTTGTTTACATTAAACTAATTATTTATTTGTGTTAAACCAATCTTGCATTGGAATAAAGCATACTTGATCATGATGAATTAACTTTTTGATGTCTGTTGAATTTAGTTTGCTAGTATTTTGTTGAGGATTTTTGTGTCTGTGTTCATCAGGGATATTGCCCTGAAGTTTTCTTTTTTTTGTTTTGTCTCTGCCAGTCTTTGGTATCAGAATGATTCTGGCTTCATAGAATGAGTTAGGGAGAAGTCCTCCTCCTCTTTTCTTTTTTTTCTTTTTTCTTTTTTTTTTTAAGAATAACTTCAGTAGGATTGGTACTAGCTCTTTTACATCTTGTAGAATTTGACTGTGAATCCATCTGATACAGGCCCTTTATTGGTTGGTAGGGTTTTTATTACAGATTCACATTTGAAACTTGCTATTATTTTGTGCAGGACTTTAATTTCTTCCTGGTTCAATTTTGGGAAGCCATGTGTTTCCAAAAATATGTCCATTTCTTCTGGGTTTTCTAGTTTGTGTGCATAGAGGCATTCATAATAGTCTCTAAAGACTTTTTGTATTTCTTTGGGGTCAGTTGTAATGTCACCTTCATTGTTCCTGTTTGGGTTTATTTGGGTTTTCCCTTTTTTTCTTTATTAATCTAGCTAGCAGTCTATCAGTCTTGTTTAATCATTTGAAGAACCAACTTTAGGTTCTGTTGATCTTTTATGAGGATTTTCATGTATCAATTTCATTCAGTTCAGCTCTGATTTTGATTCTTTCTTTTCTTCTGCTAGCTTTGGGGTTGGTTTGCTTTTGTTTTTCTAATTCCACTAGGTGCGCCATTAGGTTGTTAATTTGAGATCTTTCTAACTTCTTGATATAGGTGTTTGGTGCTATAAACTTTTCTCTTAAGACTGCTTTAGCTGTGTCCAAAAGATTCTGGTATGTTGTGTCTGTTTTCATTAGTTTCAAAGAATTTTTTTTTTGTTTTTGCCTTAATTTAATTATTTACTCAAAAGTCATTCAGGAGCATGTTGTTTAACTTCCATGTTATTGTACAGTTTTGATAGATCTTGGTATTGATTTCCTTTTTTCTGCATTGTGGTCTGAGAGTATTGTTGGTTTGATTTTAATTTTTAAAAATCTGTTGGGACTCGCTTTGTGGCTGAGCATGTGGTACAACTTAAAGCACATGCTGCGTAGAAGGTAAGAATGAATATTCTGTTGTCTTTTGATGGGGTATTCTGTAGATGTCTATTAGTCCAATTGGTCAAGTGTTGAGTTCAGGTCCAGAATATCTTTGTTAATTTTCTGCCTCAATGGCCTGTTTAACACTGTTAGTGTGGTGTTGAAGTCCGCCATTATTATTGTGCAATTGTCTAAGTCTCTTCATAGGTCTCTAAGAACTTGTTTTTTGAATCTGGGGGCTCCAATGTTGGATGCCTATACATTTAGGATAGTTAAGTCTTCTTGGTGGATTCAGCCCTTTATTATTGTGTAATGTTCTTCTTTGTACTTTTTGATCATTGTTGGATTAAAGTTTGCTTTATCTCATATAAGAATAGCAACCCCTTCTCTTTTCTGTTTTCTGTTTGCCTGATAGGATCTTTCTCGATTCCTTTACTTTGAAGCTGTAGGTGTCTCTTGAAGATAGCAGACAGTTGAGTCTTGTTTCTTTTCCAACTTGACACTATATGCCTTTTAAATGCGGGATTTTGACCACACATCTACAACCGTATGATCTTTGACAAACATGACAAAAACAAGCAATGGAGAATAGATTGCCTATTCAATAAATGGTGCTAGGGAAACTGGCTAGCCATATGCATAAAACTGAAACTGAACCCCTTCCTTACACCATACACAAAAATTAACTCAAGATGGATTAAAGATTTAAATGTAAAACCCAAAACTATAAAAACCCATTGCCCATTCAGGACATAGGCATGGGCAAAGATTGCATGACAAAACATCAAAAGCAATTGGAACAAAAGCAAAAATTGACTAAGGAGATCTAATTAAACTAAAGACCTCTGCACAGCAAAATAAACTATTATAAGAGTGAACAGACAACCTACAGAATAGGAGAAAATTTTTGCAATCTATCCATCTGACAAAGGTCTAATATCCAAGGATCTTAAACAAATTTACAAGAAATGAACAAACAACCCCATTAAAAAGTGGGCAAAGGACATGAACAGGTATTTTTCAAAAGAAGTCATTTATGTGGCCAAAAAACATATAAAAAAAGCTCAACATCACTGATCATTAGAGAAATGCAAATCAAAACCACAATGAGATACCATCTCACACCAGTTAGAAAGCGACTATTAAAAAGTAAAAAAAAAAATAATAAACCAGATGCTGGCAAAGTTGCAGAGAAATAGAAACACTTTTACACTGTTGGTGGGAATGTAAATTAGTTCAACCATTGTGGAAGACAGTGTGGTGATTCCTCAAAGACCTAGAACCAGAAATACCATATAACCCAGCAATCCTATTACTGGGTATATACACAAAGGAGTATAAATCATTTTATTATAAAGGTACGTGCACGCATATGTTTATTACAGCACCATTCACACTAATAAAGACATAGAATCAACCCAAATGCCTATCAATGATAGACTGGATAAGGAAAATGTGATACATATAAACCATGGAATACTATGCAGCCATAAAACGGAAGGAGATTGTGTCCTTTGCAGTGACATCGATGAAGCTGGAAGCCATTATTTTCAGCAAACTAACACAGGAACAGAAAACTAAACACCACCTGTTCTCACTTATAAGTGGGAGAGGAACAATGAGAACACATGGACACAGGGAGGGAACAACACACACTGGGGCCTCTGGTGAGGGGGAAGGGAGAGCATCAGGATAAATAGCTAACGCATGCGGGGCTTAATACCTAGGTGATAAGTTGACAGGTGCAGCAAATCACCATGACACACATTTACCTATGTAACAAACCTGCACATCCTGCACATGTATTCTGGAACTTAAAATTAAATTAAATTAAAAATTAAAAAATAGGCCAGGCGTGGTGGCTCATGCCTGTAATCCCAGCACGTTGGGAGGCTGAGGCGGGCAGATCACGAGGTTAGGAGATCGAGACCATCCTGGCGAACATGGTGAAACCCCGTCTCTACTAAATATATATATATATATAAAAAATTAGCCGGGCGCGGTGGCAGGCGCCTGTAGTCCCAGCTACTCAGGAGGCTGAGGCAGGAGAATGGTGTGAACCCGGGAGGTGGAGCTTGCAGTGAGCTGAGATCATGCCACAGTACTCCAGCCTGGGATACAGAGCGAGACTCCGTCCTCCCCCCCCCAAAAAAAAGAAAAAGAAAAAAGAAAAAAAAATAAATAAATGGGGCATTCTTCTTGTTTACCTTCAGGGTCAATATTAATATGTGATGATTTTATCCTGTCATTATGCTGTTACCTGGTTTTCATGTAGACTTTGTTGTATAATTGCTTCTTAGTGTCAATGGGGTGTGCGCTTAAGTGTGCTTTTTTCAGGGCAGATATCATTCTTTCATTTCCATGTTTAGCACTTCTTTTAGGACTTCTTGTAGGGCAGGTGTAGTGGTAACAAATTTCCTTAGCATTTGCTTGTTTGAAAAGGATCTTATTTCTTTTTCGCTTATGAAGCTTAGTTTGGCTGAATATAAAATTTATGGTTGGATTTTTTTTTTCTTTAAGAATGCAGAATGTAGGATCCAAATCTTGTCTGACATAAAGGGTTTCTGCTGAAAGTTCTACGATTAGCCTGTTGGAAGTATTACTATTCCCTTTGTAAGTGAACAGCCCCTGTTCTCTATCTGCCTTAATTTGTTTTTAATATTTCAATAGGTTTTTGGGGAACAGGTACTGTTTGGTTACATGAATAAGTTCTTTAGTGGTGACTTCTGAGGTTTTGGTGCGCTCATCACTGAGCAGTGAAATCTAGAAGAAAATCTAGGCAATACCATTCAGGACATAGGCATGGGCAAAGATTTTATGGGTATTCATTTTATAAATTTGGGAGCTCCATTGTTAGGTGCATATATATTTAGGATTGTAATATTTTTCTGTTGAACTAGTTATTTTATCATTATATAGTGTCTCTCTTCGCCTTTTTTAACTGCTGTTGCTTAAAAATGTATTTCATTTGATATAAGAATAGCTACTCCTGCTCCCTTTTGGTGTCTATTTGCAGGGAATATCTTTTTCTACCCCTTTAAGTTTATGTAAGTCCTTATGTATCAGGTAAGTCTCTTCAAGACAGCAGACACTTGATTGGTGAATTCTTATCCATTCTGTCATTCTGTATTTTTTAGGTGGAGCTGCAGTATTGTAGGGAAGACACAAGCTTGCCCTAGTGTCAGGTGGTGGCTAGGGCCATAGAGGTCCCAAGAGATGATGTCCTTTGTCTTTGGCTACCAGGGCCAGTAGAGAAAGACCATCAGGTGGGAGCAGGGTTAGGTGTGTCTGAGGTCAGACTCTCCTTGGGCAGGACTTGCTGCAGCTGCTGTTGGGGATGGGGGTGGGATTCCCAGGCCAATAGAGTTATGTTCCCAGGTGGATTATGGCTGCTTCTGCTGTGTCACACAGGTAGCTAAAGAAGTGGGGAAAAGCCAGCAGCCACATGCCTCATCCAGCTCCCATGCAGCCCATAGCCCAAAAGACTGGTCTTACTCTCACCATGGCCCCACAACAGCACCAAGTTTACTTCCAGGCAGCCGGTGAGCAGGGCTAAGAGCTTGTGCCAGGGTACAAACCTCCCAGCTGAGAAAGAAAGCCGACTCACAGTTCCTCAGCTGTCCCACAGAACCTGCAGCAGCAACCCACCTTCTTCAAAAGGGTCTGCAGATTCTCTCAGCTTTCTTGGTATGTACTTGTGGTAGCTCTTGTAGCAAAAGTTCACGATGTGGGTCTCTACACGCTGCTCTGTCTGTCCGAGTGGGAGCTGTAAGTTAGTCCTGTCTCCTATCTGCCACTTTTCCCCTTTTTTCTCTAGCTGCTTTTAGATTTTTCCTTTCATGTTGACCTTGGAGATTCTGATGACTGTGTGTTATGGGGATGGTCATCTTGCACAGCATCTTGCAGGGGTTCTCTGAATTTCTTGAATTTGCAGGTCAATTTCTCTACTGAGATTGGGAAAAATTTTATGGGTGGACTGTATCCTTAATTATGTTTTCCAGGTTACTTGCTCTCTCTCCTCTTTCAGGAATGCCCATGAGTTGTAGGCTTGATGTCTTTACATAATACCATATTTCTTGGAGGTTTTGCTCATTTTTATAATTCTTTTTTCTTCATTTTTGTCTACCCATGGTGCTTTAAAGGCGCATTCTTCCAACTCTGAGATTTTTCCTCAGCTTGGTCTATTATGTTGCTATGGCTTCCAGTTATATTTTTAAATTTATGTAGCAAATTTTTCACTTCCAGAAATTTAGTGTTTTTTTCCTTAAAATGGTTATGTCATCTTTGAATGTTTGGATCATCTTACTGTTTTCCTTGGATTGGGTTTCAACCTTCTCTTGTATATCAATGAGTTTCCTCACCATCCAGATTCTGAATTCTATGTCTAAAATTTTAGTCATTTCAATCTGATTAAGAACAATTGCCAGGAAGCTAATGTGATTGTTTGGAGGTAAGAAGACACTCTGGCTTTTAGAGTTGCCTGAGTTCTTACACTGGTTCTTTCTCATCTGTGAGTGCTGATGTTCCTTTATCCTTTGAAGTTACTGTCCTTTGGGTGGAGCTTTTGATTTTATGCTCTTTCTTGTCCTTGAGGGATTGACTATGGTGCAAGTTGTTTATAGTTGAGTGACTTTGCTTCTGGATGCTTTCAGAGGGTCTAGGCTCAGTTCCATACTCCTGGGCTGCATTCTCTAACCCTGGGTCTATAGCTTTGTCCTCTGGTCCCTCGAGGTCAAGTCCTACCTGGGCTGGAGTGGCCAAGTTATTCCAGTACTGCTGGCAACAGCATTCTTGGGGGGATGGTGTGGGAGCCGTGAGCATAAATGCTCTGATGGTGGCAGGGTGGCACCACAGGTGGGAGGTGTTCCTGAGGTGGGTGCTGTGGATGGGAGGCATTCCAGAAGGGCCACTGCAGGTGCTCCAGTTGGGGCAGCAGGGGTGATGCTGGTGGGAGGCACTTGGGTGGAAGGCCACCTGGGGTGGAGGTTGTGGTGGGGTGAAGTGCACTGAAGGGGTGGCAGTGGCACTGTGGAAAAATGTGCTTTGAAGTGGTGTTGGTGGAGTTTCAGGCAAACATGTTTTAGTGGGAGGCTGTTAGCAAAAGTGCTCTGTTGAGGCAGTGAGGCCTGCGGCAGAATCACTGTGGTGGTGTCTGCTGGGAAAAGTGCTCCAGCAGGGTAGCTGAGGCTGTGCTGCATGCAGTCACGGCTAGGCAGTGACTCTGGGAGTAGCTGGCAGACAGCAGGTTCCACAGGTCACTCTCCATGGTCCTGCAACAAAGACAGCCCTGCTGTTTCCAGGTCTAGCAACTTACACAGGTCAGAGCCACCCCATTTTTAGGGAGCTTTTCAGGGCCTGGAATGTGTCCACGTACTTGGCAGCCCTGTGCAGGGTTCCCAGCTTTTGGATCATCTCTCTTCCACTTCATCTCATCTTCTCCTTCAGTTCCAGCATCTGGGTCATCTGTCTACCCTCTCTCAGTTTATTCTCTCAGATGGTCTACTTGGTGTATGCTGGTTTGCCTGATACTCTGGTCTGTCTCAGTGGGAGACAACTTGTCTTTTTTTGTTGTTGCTGTTGTTTTTAATTGGAGAATGTTGTTAGAAGCCAAGATCTGGGTATAAGGTGTGCTTGTTGCTATTGGAATGTCATTTACTTTAGGCCCTCTCAGTTGACAGAAGAAATATATGTCTGTAAATATCTATGTAGCTCTATCCATATGAAATTATATGCATTCATATATATTTATATGAAATTATATATATTCTTGGTAATGTCTGCAACACTAATTCATTACCACGTGAATTATTCTAGCTCCTCTGCTTGCTATATCTATAAATTCCTACTCCATCAGTGAGTAATCAGCCTCCTGCCTTTCATCCATTTAATTACTTATTCAGTTCCAGAATACAGGCATATTTTAGAAATATTGCAGTTTTTTTCCAGACCACTGCAGTAAAGTGAATATTGTAATAAAGTGAGTCACATGAATTTTTTTATTTTTCAGTGCATATCAAGGTTATGTTTACATTACACTACATTCTATTAAGTGTGCAATAGCATTATGTCCATAAAAACAATCTACATATCTTAATTAAAATCATTTATTGCTAAAAAATGCTAGTGGTCATCTGAGCCTTTGGTGAATTGTAATATTTTTGCTGATGGAGGATTTTGCCTCAATTTTGATAATTGTAGACTGATGACGGTAGTTGTTACTGAAGGCTGGAGTGGCTGTGGCAATTTCTTAAAGTAAGACTACAGTGGACTAGCACACAGCTTGTGGCTGCAATCCCAACTACTCTGGAGTCTGAGGCAGGATCTCTTAAGGGCAGGAGTTTGAGACCAATCTGGACAACATAGTGATACCCTGTCTCTCAAAAATAAATATAAAAAATTAGCTGCACATGGTGGCACACACCTGTAGTCCCAGCTACTCAGGACAGAATGAAATGCTGTTTCTTAAAAAGAAAAAAAGACTAAAATAACATTTGCCACATTGATTGACTCTTCCTTTTATAAAAATTTCTCTGTAGCATGTGATACTGTTTGATAGCACTTTAACTATAGTAGAACTTCTTTTAAAATTGTAGCCAATTCTCTGACACCCTGCTGCTGCTGCTTTATCAACTAAGTTTGTGAAATAGTCTAAATTATTTGTTGTCATTTCAGCAGTGTTTGCCAGGCATCTTTACTAGGAGTAGATTCCATCTCAAGAAAACACTTTTTTTGCTCATCCATAAGAAGCAACTCGTCTTCCATTAAAGTTTTATCATGAGATCTCAGCAATGCAATCATATCTTCTGGCTCTACTTTTAATTCTAGTTCTCTTGTTATTTCTACCACGTACACAGTTCCTTCCTCCACTGAAGTTGTGAACCCCTCAAAGCCATCTGTGAGAGCTGGAATCACCTTCTTCCAAACTCCTGTTAATGCTGATATTTTGACCTTCTTCCATAAATCACAAATGTCCTTAATATCATCTAAAAATGGCGAATCCTTTCCAGAAGGTTTTCAATTTACTTTTCCCAGATCCACTAAAATAGTCACTATCTTTTGGCAGCTAAAGCCTTCCAAAATTTATTTCTTAAATAATAAGATTTTAAAGTCAACATTATTCCTTGACCAATGGGGTGAAGAATGAGTGTTGTGTTAGCAGACATGAAAACAACATTCATCTTCTTGTACATCTCCATTAGCACTCTTGAGTGACCAGGTGCAGTGTTACGTGCAGTAATATTTTAAAAGAAATCTTTTTTTTTCCTGAGGAGTAGGTCTCAACAATAGGCTTAAAATATTTAGTAAACCATGCTGTAAACAGATGTACTCTAATCCAGACTTTGTTGTTTCATTTATAGACAACAGGTAAAGTAGATTTAGCATAATTCTTAAGGGCTCAGGATTTTTGGAATGGTAAATGAGCACTGGTTTCAACTTAAAGTTACCAGCTGCATTAGCCCCTAACAAGGGAGTTGTCCTGTACCTTGAAGCTTTGAAGGCAGGTGTTGATTTCTCCTCTCTAGCTATAAAAGTCCTAGATGGCATCTTCTTTCAATAGAAGGCTGTTTTGTCTACATTAAAAATCTGTTTTCTAATGCAGCCACCTTCACCAATTATCTTAGCTAGACTTTCTGGATAACTTGCTGCAAGCTCTATATCAGCACTTGCTGCTTAACCTTGAACTTTTCTACTGCGGAGATGATGTATTTTCTTGAACTTCGTAAAGCAACCTCTGCTAGCTTCAAACTTTTCTTCTGCAACTTCCTCACCTCTCTCAGCCTTCATAGAATTGAAGAGATTTAGGGCCTTGCTTTGAATTAGTCTTTTACTTAAGGAAAAGTTGTACCTGGTTGAATCTTCTAGACAGAGCACTTAAACTTTCTCCATATCAACAACAGAGCTGTTTTGCTTTCTTATCATTTCTGTGTTCACTGGAATAGCACTTTTAATTTTCTTCAAGAACTTTTCCTTTGCATTCCCAACGTAGCTAACTATTGGCACAAGAGGCCTAGCTTTCAGCCTATCTCAGGTTTCAACATACCTTCCTCACTAAGCTTAGTAATTTCTAGCTTTTGATTTAAAGTGAGAAGTGTGGGACTCTTCCTTTTACTTGAACAATTAAAGATCATTGTAGGGTTATTAATTAGCCAAATTTAAATAATGTTGTGTCTCAGGGAATAGAAATGCCAAGGCAAGAGAGAAAAAGATTAGATAATGGCTGGTCAGTAAGCAGTCAGAACACAAACATTTATAAATTGTTTGCCATCTTACATGGGTGCAGTTCATGGCCTCTCAAAACAATTTTGATAGTAACATCAAAGATCACTGATCACAGATAACTAAAAAAATGAAAAAGTTTGAAATATTGCAAGGATTACCAAAATGTGACACAGACACAAAGTGTGCATATGCTGTTGGAAAAATGGTGCTGATAGACTTGCTTGATGCGGGATTACCAAAAACGTTCAGTTTGTAAAAACTGTAATATCTGTGAAGCACGATAAAGTGAAGTGCAATAAAATGGGGCATGTCCATACTTGTGTAGCAGTATCAGCATCATTAATTCTTACACCTGTGAGAAACAATTTTATCAACCAAAGTACATTGCTTGTGTGCAATTTCTGTTGCATTCCGCCTTATAAATACTCTTTTCCAGAGTTACTTAGGTCAGTACTTCTTCTCCCACCTTCTTGAATGAGGTTGTTTTATATACTTCTGTTACAGTTATACCCTCTTGTCACAGTCTTCATTCCTTCCCGAGGTTCCCTAATCTAAGTGATTGTTTTAAAAAACTTGGCTATATTAAGGTTCACCCTTTGTGCTGTCGAGTTTTATGGATTTTGACAAATGCATAGTTCACGTGTTTATTCATCATTACAGTATCATACAGAATAGTTTCACTGCCCTAATATAGCTCCTGCATTTTATCTCTTTAACGCCCCTCCCCCGACAAATTCTTGGAAACTGCTGTTTATAGTTTTACCTTTTCCACAATGTTGTATAATTGGAATCACATAGCTTTTTCAGACCAATTTCTTTCAGTTAAAAATATGCATTTAAAATGTATCTGTATATTTTTGTGACTTGATAGCTCATTTGTTTTTAATCACTAAATAATATTATATTGTAAGGATATACCACAGTTTGTTTATTCATTCACCTATTGACAGATATCTTGGTTGTTTCCAGCTTTTGGGAATTAAGTTTAAAGCTATAATTCCTGTGCAGGTTTTTATGTGGGCATAAATTTTCAAATTAAATAGGTAAATATCTAGGAGTGATTGCTGGATAATATAATAAGTGGCACGATCATGGCTCACTGCAGCCTCGACCTCCCAGGCTCAAGCAATTTTCCCACCTTAGCCTCCTAAGTAGCTGGGACTGCATGCATGTGCCACCACACCTGGCTGATTTTTGTAGAGACAGGATTTTGTCATGTTGCCCAGGCTGGTATCGAACTCCTGAGCTCAGGCACCCCACCTGTCTTAGCCTCCCAAAGTGCTGGTATTACAGGGATGAGCCACTGTGCTAGGCCCCTACTTTGTGTTGTTAAAAGTACAATGTTTTTAAACAATTTTCCCAAATTACTCTTGTGACAGAATAAATTATAGAATTATTGTTTAATGGTTAACTGCACAGGCTCTGGAAGTGGAAGGCTTGGGTTCAAGTCTAGATTCTATAATTTACTAAGTACATGATTTTTAAGCCTGTCAGGTAATCTCTCTATACTTCAGTTTCCTCCCTTATAAACTGTGAATTATAGTATCTCTTAGTTACTGTGAGGATTAAATTAGATAATGTGTTTGGCACAGAGTAAGAAGTTAATTGTTGTCTTTTTTTTCTTTCAATACTCTAGATTCATTTGAAAGGAACTCTCTATTCTTTCTCTTTCCTCTGTCACCTACGATAGCAACCAGGTCTTTACTTCTAAAGTCCAGCTTCTTAGCAAGGGTAGGGAAACTGTGATGGCAGAAAGGGCTTAATACTTCTTTATGTCCCAGTGCCATTAAATGAATTAAAAGTGGATTATCCAAGAAAGGAATCTACCCAAGAGGTTGATGAGAGGGTGGCTTAAACCTAGAGGATGTTATTCTGTGTGGCAGGCTTATTACTTACTGACCTATACAAGGTTTCTGTGTAAATTAGAAAAAGGTTCACTCTGGGCAGATGCAGCCCAGGACAAAGGCACAACCTTAGCCAGTAGAGCATAGCTAGATTCCAGTCCTCCACTGGCCACTTATGCTAGGTTCTATTGTTCAGTGTCCACACTACACAACTATAAATGTCATCTCTGCCTGGTAGATGGAAGGGAGGATTGTGGGTTCCATATGGGACAAGCACATGGATCAAGTCCATTGGAACACAGCATCTCAGAAATGCTAGAACATCTATCCCATGGAATTATTGTGGGAAAACAGGAAATGATGTCTCTAAGTACTGGGCTTTGAGAAAAAAAAAAATGATGCCACCAGCAAAGCCATCTGCCATGGCTGACATAAGGATCATGTTGTCCTAGCAAGAAAGCTAAGCAAGTGAGAACACTGCAGACAGAATAAAAAATTGGGTGGATGGTGAAAAACCAGTCTGAACAAGGCACAGAGTCACCATATGAAGAAAAGGTAAAGTTGAGACTGAGAGTCTTCTCTTGTGATACACCTAAGTTTTTAAGACTCTCTCATATGATGTTAGAAAAATGAAAGGTGCCCCCAAAGAATGCTGATTGGAATTCCTGTAAACTTTAGATGAGGAAAATGTATGATGGAAAACGAAGATAAATAGGAAGTTTCTTTCACCCAAGTATTACACCTTAGTATAAGGAAAATATGGACATACATATTTTAAGCAGTCTGTATGAATCCAATGTGCAGTATTTGCCTGCACAGACAAGTTGAGTTCCCCTAAAACTCTATTTCGGCTTTCTCCAAAGTATTGTCATTTCTAAGTTACTGGAATCCTTCCTTAAGCTTCTTGCTCAGTGGGAAGTGTAATGCAAATATTTTCAGATGAGTCACCTCCCTTTATAAATGGTTCCTTAATATTTTGACTCTCTAGTTGGGAGCCTGTCAAAGCAAGGGTGTCTCATAGATTGTCAGGGGATAGAGGGGATAGACATAGGATATCTTACTTTTCTATAAAATGGTCAGACACCCAACTCTAGCTGAAAGTGTCAGGAATTTTATTATTCCCATAATCTATTTTTAATTCTATTATATAAATATATTTTAAATGGAGAAAGTTTTATTTCATTTTAAGCAAAGATACTTTTTCCCCAATATTAAAGAAATGTCATTTTGGGGCATTTGTTTCTTATTGCGTTGCCAAGCCAAACATCTATTGTTACATTCATAGCTTACTGCTTTTTTTTTTTTTTTTTTTTTTGACAGTGGGAGTGCAAGAATCCAACTTGTTATTGGTGCCACAAAGATTTTTGCATAAATCTTTAAATATACTCCTAGGGAAGACACATGGCTAGACCATCCAGGAGCCCCAGTAGCCCATAGGCAGCTCTGCAGCAGAAGCACATACGCTCATGAAAGCCTGTGCAACAGTGTAGGTCTCTTGTATTTCAGTCTACACATACTATTTAATGACACATGAGCATAGTAAATTCATCAATAAATCAGTTTGGTTGCTGTAAATTCTCTCATCACTATGAAAAATCTTGTTTTTGTAAGAAGATTTTGACATTAGCTTTGATTTCTGACCACAACACACAGATTCAGTCTTGTGAATGAAAATGCTACCTCAGACACCCCAGCCTTTATATCTGCATGATGCTCTGAATGTACCTTGTTATTTATGTACCATCCAATGCAGCATATGGTATGTGTAGAAATGTTCACATGTGCTGTACTTGAAATGTAAGGAGTTAATATTCACTGACTAGATACTCACTCCCAAATAGTACTGTTTGGGGGAATTACAGAGAAAACCCTTTATACACAATTTCAAAACTTCGTCATTCAGCATTAACCAAATTATAGTAGAAATTGATTATATTTGTTTGAAAACCCATCTGTTCTTACCAGATAACACTGTATTTTACTGGATGTGGTTAGAAACAGACTGAGGAGAATGTTTGAAAGTTCACTTACTATCTTTAATCTGCTTGCCACTTTGTTTTTATTCACACATGTGAAACTGAGTTACCCATGCGAAACAGGTCTTTTCTCCCAATACAAATAATTCATGCAAATAGATGCCTGTGAACCTCTAGAATAAGTGAAAAATCAGCTAGGCTAAGAAGATGCAAAAGAGTGTATATCCAGCTAAAATAATGTTTATGAAAGCACAGAGGTAAGAGAGAAAAACACACATATTTAAGAAGCACAAATTCTACATTTCTTCAAAGGCCCAGTTACAAATATTTTATAAAGGAAATCAGGAGTCAATTCAATACTAATTCAGGTAAAGAGTCCTGAATTTTCAGTTCTAATACCACCTATGACTCATTTAGGCAGTAATTATTAAATGAATATATACTATATGTTTCAGACACTATGCCAAATTCTAGCAATCCCACAGTGAACCAGGCACAGTCTCTCCTCTCAGGAAATCACAATCTAATTAAGGAAGTAGGGATATAGAAATAATCCTACAAAACTCTCTAGGCCTCACCATCTGTTAGATGTAGATAAATTTATATTAACCTTAATGTCTGAATTTGTTGCCTCAGACCTTCTTAAGTTATGAACATCAGTTTTCCTTCTAAGTTTCCTGAGTTACTCAGGAATTCCCAAGGATACCTCATACGTGTTCATAGAATCCTTCAATTTTCTTTTTTGGGCTCCCACAAAGGCACTTCTGACTGCTAGTGGTACCTCTGCATGTATGTTGCCCCTCCCACTCTTCAATGTCCTGTATTCCAAACCTTGCAAATTCCTCGGGGCACCACGTTGCCATTGGGTTGGTGTAACATGCTGTTTTCAGCAGAATGTGAAAATGCCCTGAGCCTTACCTCTAAGTTTTGCTTTGTCACCTGAACTACCAAGCCTCGCTACTTATGCCCCAGGTCTCACAAAGTTCTGTCCAATCCAGCCTTTGGGGTTAAAGCTGGAGAAGAGATGCACATTCTCTTCTCCATTTCCCTCTCTTATTTTTTGGCTCTGATAAAACATTTCTTCTCACAGGTCTCTGTCCCTCAATACAAGTAATTAACCCAAATAGATGTCTGCAAACCTCTGCTAACTTTTTAGCAGACACAGGAACTTCTCAATTTTATTGTAATTACTACAGACTATGGTAAAAGTAACGGCAAAGTTTACTTACTAGGGTCTGGGGGGCATACATGGAAAAAGCACTTAATTCAAGCTCAGGGAAGTGAGCATGGGGAGCTGGAAGGATTCCTGAAAGACAATACAACAAAACTGAGAACCTAAGAAAAAGTGGCAATTAGCTAGGCTACATGGACCCTTAAGAGTGTATATGTACTTAAAACAGTCTTTATGACAGCTCAGAGGTAAGAAAAAAGAACACATTTATTCATGGAGTTCACATTCTACCCTTCTTCAAAGGCCCAGCCCAAACATCTTTTATAAAGCCTTCTCTTCTCTTTTCCCATTAATCTATTTATACCCCTCTTTTGCATTTGTCACATTAACCTTCTATTATAATTATTTGTGAGCATATCCATCTCCCCTTACTAGAAGAGAAGCTCATTGTGGGTTCTGCCAAATTATTTTTCATATCCTGCACATTAATAACCACAATGGATTGCATAGAACAGGTGCTTAATTAAAAGCAATATGCCTAAAGAGGCCGAAAGTGCTTGGAATAAGCAGACTCATGTTTCATAAACGAATAACAGAATGGCATCAATGATTCAAGCAAGTAGATGTGATAGTAACCTCACTGATTCTAGATAAAAAGGAAAGGCTGGACAAGATCTTTCTTACCTGTTGGAATAATTTCTTAACTTTGTTGGTATCACCAGAGCACTTGTGAAATAGTGATCAAGAGAATAATTATTCAGTTCCTTGTATTCCACTTTTAAATTTACTAATATTTATTAAGAACCAATTGTGCTAGATGCTTTTTTATTTAAAATATTAATGAACTAAATGATTCATACAAAATACTATTACATACATTTGACACTTAAAGGCTGATAAAACAATTATGTGCCTGCCAAATAGCTGAAGAAATAGACAACTAAATATTACAATGAAACATTTCTTATCCTAACAAAATGGCAAACCAGTATAGGCAGCTGGATTCCTCCCTCAGCTCTGGGGAAGTTTTAGAACTCAAAATAAAATTACAGACAAAATTAACATAATAGACAAGAGGAGTACGTAGGAATATGCCAGAATGCTGTAGTACTTGTTTCATTAGGCAAAGCAATTTAAATGGGTCTTAAGTCTATTACAAGAGCAAATGGAGAAAATATTATATAAACAGAATAAGAACACTAAATTTATGCAATAGAAAGCATAAATGAAGAAAAGAAATGCAAGGAAAGTATAAAAAATGAAAAAATATTTTTAAAATGATAGCAGTATTAGGTCCTAAAATAATAGAAGCTGCAATAAATATAAATGGGTTAATCTAGTCAATTAAAGTCAGAGACTCTAAGATTTTAATTAAAATATCTAACATATTCTTTGCAAGAGAAAATATGAGGATATAAAAAGAAGAAAGCACATATTAACAACAACCTTGAAGTCCACACTGTGATGCCATTAGTTACATCTCCTTCCTCCAGAGGTAATAATTACTCCAAAGTTTGTGTCTATTATTTCAGAATTAGTTTACTATTACTGTGTAACAAATTATCACAAGCTTAGTGGCTTAAAACAACATACACATACTATCTCACAGTTTATGTGTGTCAGGTATTTGGTCATGGCTTAGCTGAGTCCTCTGTTCACAGTTTGACAAGGCTGCAATTAAGATTAAGATTGGCTGAGCTGTGTTCTCATCAAAGGCATAACCAGGGAAAGATCTAATTCCACATACCGTAGGTTGTTAGCAGAATTCCTCTTCATGTGGTTATAGGATTTAGATTTATGTTTTCTTACTGGTCATTGGTTTGGGGACACTTCCAACTCTTGAGAGTCCTTTGCCACATAGGTTTTGCCGTAGACTTACAGCATCACAATGTGTCAACTTACTTCAGGGTCAGTATTTACTGAGAATGTTTCACTTCTGTCTGTGAAAATAGAAGAATGACATTCCACCGCCTTTGCAATAATCTATTGGTTAGAAGCCCATACTGCAAGGGAGGGGACTATACAATGGTGTGACTCCTTGAGGGTCATCCTAGGATATGTCCACAATTTACATTGATTTACTTTTTCACTGTATATGTATATCCTAAAGTAGATATTGTTTAGTTTATATATGATTTTCAGTTTTATGTAAGTGGAATCATCCTGTATATATTATTCTTCAATTTCTTTTCCACTCATAGTTATTTTTGCTTTATATTCATATGTTCCACTGTAGTTGTAATTTTCATGACCATATAGCAGTCTATTTTAAGACTGTCACAAAATTGATTTTTCATTGTATTATTTCAGTTTTTGCTATTATAACCAATATTTCTATGGGCATTGTTGTTCATGTTCTCACTGTAAATGTGTAGGAATTTCTCAAGATTATAATCCTTTCTTTACACAGTAGCCAGAGGAAGTAGTCTTTTTACAACATAAATTAAAACCCTCCAGTGACATTTTGCTATACTTCGAATAAAATCCAAACTCCTTAAACTATAGTTTACAAAGCTTTACTTGCTCTGGCCTCTGACCATATCTGTTACCTTATCTTAAACTGATATTACCCTTTCCCACTACAGTCCACAATGGCCTTTTTTCTTTTTCTCAATATTCAGTTTTTTTATTCATTCCTGCCCTAAAGTCTTTTTACCCTGTTACTAGAATACTCTTCCTTGGGCTCTGAATGTAGACTCCATTTGATGTTGCATGACTAAGCTGACATATCTCCAGAGTGGCTTTCTGTAGCTACCAAATTCAAAGTAGACTTCTACTCACTGTCAGTCCCATAACTCTATTTTAACTATTTTCACAGAATCTATCCTTTTGATATATTTTTTAATTTATTATCTTCCTGTCAATGTGTTTAACTCTCTATTTTAAATGTAACTTCCCTGAGAACAAGTATCTTTTCCTACTACTTATCTGTATATGTATAATATCTAGCAAAGTGTCTGGTACATAAGTAAAATAATAACTACACTATCAGATTTGGCAGAAGCAAAGATATAAGGTAAAATGGAGTATGAAACAACTTTTCTATAGACAGCAGGTGGGCTTAAGTGACATGCCTTCCATTGTCTTATTAACACTTGTTAAGAAATATTGCCAGAAACAAAAAATAAAGAGTTTTCTGACAGTTTGAATTCTGAACTAGGAGGAAATGACATAACAACACTGGGTGAGTGAGTTTGGGGAAGGGTTAGGAAGTGCTGTTTTTCCAGGCCAATCATTTGGCATTTAGTTGTTGACAGCCTTCTTGGCTCACTAATTAGAACTGTAAAATTTCAGGTGAGTGACAGTAGCTTAAACACTAATTCTGCTTTTTGCAGCTGCAATCATTGGGAAGCTAATGGTATAATTGATGGATGCTGCCAGTTGCTGAAAAGAAGTGGAAATTAATACTTAAATTACCATTGTTAGAGGTCATAATCACATTTTCAGTTGCATCCAAAAGCAGTGCCTCAAACAATAAAACTGTAATATAATTTTTGGGAGCAAACATGCCATTAGTACCTTGAATGTTGCTTATTATAAATACAGGTATAAATGTGTACATCAAATTTTACATTTCAATCTGTAATGGATTCAAGTTCTGCCCCATCCCCCAACTAACAGCCCTTAAAGAATAACAAAGAAAACTAAGATTTATCTAAACAGATAAATCCTCTGTAATAAAATATTTTTTCCACAAAAGGCTTCAGTTTCATCTTGGACCTCTTATAATTGTTGAACACATCTGCTTAGTTTTAAAATAATATATGCTTCACCATGGATTAAAGGAATTAAAACTTTTGGAAACCCATTTATGATGGAGCATAACCAGCTAATTGATTTTATAGTGGTAAAATGGACTTGAGCTCTTGAAATGGGATGCTATTGTGGTGATCAAGGATTTCTGAAATGATAGAACATCACAGTATTTATTTTTAAAACAATGTTTATGTCATATTCATCCTGTTCTAGTGAAGGCAATTGAGACTATAGAAGTAGTGGCATTATTTTTTTTCTTCTGGTTTCCTTCATACACTTCTGTCCATTTCTTTTTGGTTTTCTTCATAGGCATGAAGAAAAAGTCATGGGCTTGCCTTTATTTTTCCTTAATGTGATAATTCCAGATCCTGGCTGCACCTCATAAGTTCTGATTTAAGTGGTCTGAGGGTATCCTTGGCATAAGTATCTTTTCATTTGATTCTAATGTGCAGCCGGTGTTGAGAATCAGTATTTTACACTGTCTCCTTGGGTAGTTCATTCACTCTCATAATTTGAACGACTATCTTGATGACTCCCAAATGTGTATCATCAGCTCTAATTTTACCTGAGCTTTATGTTTGAAGGTGCAGATGCATGCTTGTCATCTCTCCTTGGATGACCTCAACATGCCAGTACTGAACTCATCAACCACCAAGTGTCCTCCACCTGTTTTTTGTTCTATGTTTACTTTCTAGAATCTTGGAAATATTCTTTTGTTTCCTTTGTCTCTCCAACTATTCAACAGTCTTGGCAATTTATCTTCTAAATGTTTCTCAAGTCTTTTCCTTTACGCTTACCTGAACTACCTTTGTTTAGTTACAATGTTACCGAATTGGCTTTTGTGACAATTTCAACATATTTTCCTTGTTCAGATCCTCTTCCCCACTAATAAAACCCACCCTATCTATCTGGGATGATCAATTTAAAACACCTGTTTAGCCACATCACTCACAGTCAAAATTCTTCAATGGCTTTTTATCATTTACTGGATCAGGCCCAAGCTTCTTAGCAAAGTTAGTTAAGGTAATTTCACCACTGGTTTATGTCTCTTTTCTCATTACTTGATTCTACATGATTCGTACTTTAGGATAGAGGATAAGGAACTACTTACGGTTGTCCCTAAACATGAAGTTCTCCTAATTCTTCATGCTTTTGTTCATATTATTTCGTCTAAAATTACCTTTACTTTTTCATAAAACATTTAACTTCTAATCATCCCTTACTACTTTATATCACCTCCTACTAAAAGGCTTCTCTGACTTGCCAGACTTGAATAAATGTCCCTCTGTCCTCTCCTAGCACTTTTGGAATTCCCTTGTAGTAGAATTAGCCTTGTTAAAGTGAAATAATTTACTTACTTATCTGCCTCTCCACTAAAATGTAAGCAGGAGCTGTGTCTTACCATCTTCATATCCTCAGTGCCTACCTCGAGCTCTGTCAGAAACTTAGTAGGCTTTAATTGCACACTTTTTGAATGAGATGATTGCTGACAGCACCACGAAATCAACGTGTATCCTTTAGACACTACCACTCAATGAAGGTGTTTTCCCTACTGTGAAATGGGTTGAGGAATTACTGTCTTTTTTTTTTTTTTTTGAGATGGAGTCTCGCTCTGTCGCCCAGGCTGGAGTGCAGTGGCGCGATCTCGGCTCACTGCAACCTCCGCCTCCCGGGTTCACGCCATTCTCCTGCCTCAGCCTCCTGAGTAGCTGGGACTACAGGCGCCCACCACCACGCCCGGCTAATTTTTGAGACGGGGTTTCACCGTGTTGGCCAGGATGGTCTCGATCTCCTGACATGGTGATCCACACGCCTCGGATTCCCAAAGTGCTGGGATTACAGGCGTGAGCCACCGCGCCGGGCCCATAATTTTTTATGATCATTTCTCTTGAGACATTTCAGAAGGCATCAGGCAGCATTAACAAGAAACATCAGCTTGTTTTCACAGGTGCACGTTTTTATTTGATACTGCCTTTAAAACATTCCTAGTGATTTTATGTGTGAAGCTTTCCTTATCTAATGCCTAATTGCATTCTATGCTCTTTGCACAGTGAATTCTTGATTATCCATGGTCATGGTAGAAAGGGAGAGCGTGGATAATCTAAAAATCTCATTTGCATCAACTGCCTCTCTCACCAAATCTTTTGCCAGAGATAGTAATGAGTGTATCAAAGCTAGTGGAAGTACAAATGAGCTGTGAAATGGCAAAAACACGTGTTGCCAAATGAAAAGCTCTGAATAATACACATCTGGATAGTCAGTTACAGAATAACAGAATTAACTATATTTTAAAACTAGGAACTTAGTGTTTATGATTGATGACAAAGAAGACTGACGTCTCCTGCTCTGTTATCAGGACTCATTTTACCCATGGACAAAGTAAATGATTGTATACATGCTATTGTTTCAGGTGTGCTGGGTAGGTCTGGCTATCCTTAAACCCTATGAACATATACTTTTTATTCTGATCACATCGACTTTTAGGAAACATATTTCATTCTCAGGTTTGGAGGACAGTTACAAGGCAGGTGAGTCAATGTAAGCATTATTTCTGTAGTCATTTACCAAATGGCTATCTCATCTTAGTGGAGTTGATAAGGTCAGTTGGAACCTCCAGAGTGCCCTGGATGTACCTGGAGTTTTTAATACCCATATAGTTTAAAAACTACAGTAAAACCCACATATGTATATTTGTAGTAAGACCTACATATGTATATTTGTAGTAAAACCCACATCTGTATATTTGTAGTAAAACCCACATATGTATATTTGAAACCCATATGCTGAAATTGGTGGAGATGTCAAAAACCTTATAGCTTTACAGGGCATACTCTATATATTAGATATTAGAGTTATAGAACCAATGGGATGTGATGTGTGTGTGTGTGTGTATATATATATATTCATATAGGGATATATATATTTATATATGTGTGTGTATATACAAAGTGACTTATTTTAAGTAATTGGCTCACACCATTATAGAGGCTGGCAAGTCTAAAATCTGCAGGATGGACCAGCAGGCTGGAGACCCAGGAAGAGGGTCTTCATGCTGTGTCTACAGGCACAATTAATTCTCCTTGCTCAGGGAGGTCAGCCTTTTGTTCAGTTAAGGCCTTCAGTAGATTGGATGCAGCCCATTCTAATTATGAAGGGCAATCTTCTTTACTCAGAGTTCACCAATTTAAATGTTAATTTCATCCCAAAACACCCTCACACAAACAACCAGAATAATGTTTGACCACATATCTGGGCACTGTGGACCAGACAGCTTGACGTAAAATTCACTATCGTACATCTGTTAGATGATAAAAGAAGCCCAAGAAAGTTAAATAACTTGCCTGAGCTTCTGGTAATTGAGCTCAGACTTGTATCCAAATCTTCTTATTTCTTAATTGATGTCTTCTGCCACAGACTACTGATTTTTCACAACTGTGGTAATGAGAAGAAAAAGAATTTAGCTCAGAAATAAATGGCTCAGAATTAAATACAGATAGTGTTTCATTTTAAAAAGTCTATTGAACAGGACTCACGACATTTCAGAATGTCTAGTGCACATTATCCCTGACTAAATTGACAGTAGTAGATTCCTATTTTTTTAAATGACAGTTATATTGAAATATGTCACATACCATAAACATCACCATTTTATTGTTTTTTATTTTTTAGTTTTTATTTCCATAGGTTTTTGGGGAACAGTTGGCATTTCGTTATATGAGTAAGTTCTTTAGCGGTGATTTGTGAGATTTTGTTGCACCCATTACCCAAGCAGTATACACTGAACCCAATTTGTAGTCTTTTATCTCTCACCCCCTCCCACCTTTTCCCCTAAGTCCCCAAAGTCCATTGTATCATTCTGATGCCTTTGCATCCTCATAGCTTAGCTCCCACTTATGAGTGAGAACATATAATGTTTGGTTTTCCATTCTTGAATTACTGAACTTGGAATATTAGCCTCCAGTTCCATCCAGGTTGCTGCCAATGCAATTAATTTGTTCCTTTTTATGGCTGAGTGGCATTCCATCATATACATATGATGGAATATATATATACACACATATATATGTATGTATATATACATATATGTATATGCATGTATATATACACATGTACACATATGTATATGTATGTATATATACATATATACGTGTGTGTGTATATACACACATATATATACACATATGTATATATACCAAAGCCCTCACCAAAATTGGCATAAAAGGGACATACCTCGAGCTAATAAAAGCCAGCTATGACAAAACCATAGCCAACATAATACTGAATGGGGAAAAGTTAAAAGCATTCCCACTGAGAACTGGAACAAGACAAGGATGGCCACTCTCACCACTTGTATTTAACATAGTACTGGAAGTCCTAGCCAGAGCAATCACACAAGAGAAAGAAACTAGGGCATCCAAATCGGTAAAGAAGAAGTCAAACTGTTGCTGATTGCTGATGATTTTTTTTTTTTTTTTTTTTTGAGACGGAGTCTTGCTCTTCACCCAGGCTGGAGTACAGTGGCGTGATCTCGGCTCATTGCAAGGTCTCCCTCCCGGGTTCACGCCATTCTCCTGCCTCAGCCTCCTGAGTAGCTGGGACTACAGGTGCTCGCCACCACGCCCTGCTAATTCTTTTTATTTTTTAGTAGAGATGGGGTTTCACCATGTTAGCCAGGATGGTCTTGATCTCCTGACCTCGTGATCCGCCTGCCTCGGCCTCCCAAAGTGCTGGGATTACAGCCGTGAGACACTGTGCCCGGCCTATGATGATAAGATCTTATGCCTCCAAAAAGCTCCTAGAACTGATAAATGAATTCAGCAAAGTTTCAGGATACAAAATTAATGTACACAAACCAGTAGCTCTGCTATACACCGATAGCAAATGAGCTGAAAATCAAATCAAGAACTCAACCCCTTTTACAATAGGTGCAAAAAACCCCCAAAACTTAACAATATACCTAACTGAGGAAATGAAAGACCTTTACAAGGAAAACTACAAAACACTGCTGAAAGAAATCATTGACAACACAAACAAATTGAAACACATCCCATGCTCATGGATGGGTAGAATCAATATTGTGAAAATGAACATACTGCCAAAAGCAATCTACAAATGCAATGCAATTCCCATTAAAATACCACCATCATTCTTCACAGAACTAAAAAAAAGTCCTAAAATTCATATGGAACCAAAAAAGAGCCTGCATAGCCAAAGCAAGACTAAGCAAAAAGAGCAAATGTGGAGGCATCACATTACCTGATATATATATATATATATATATATGGCTATAGTCACCAAAACAGCATGGTACTGGTATAAAAATAGGCATGTAGACCAATGGAACAGAATAGAGAGCACAAAATAAGCCCAAATACTTAGAGCAAACTGATCCTTGACGAAGCAAACAAAAGCATAAAGTGGAGAAAGCACACCCTATTCAACAAATGGTGCTCAGATGATTGGCAAGTCACATGTAGAAAGAATACAAAAGTCAACTCAAGATGGACAAAGGACTTAAATATAAGACCTGAAACCATAAAAATTCTAGAAGACCACATTGGAAAAACCCTTCTAGACATTGGCTTAGGCAAAGACTTCACGACCAAGAACCCAAAAGCAAATGCAAGAAAAGCAAAGATAAATAGGCTACACTTAATTAAACTAAAGAGCTTCTGCACTGCAAAAGGAACAGTCAGCGGAGTAAACAGACAACCCACAGAGTGGGAGAAGATCTTTGCAATCTATAGGTCTGGCAAAGCACTAATATGCAGAATCTACAAGGAACTCAAATTAGCAAGGAAAAAAGCAAACAATCACATCAAAAAGTGGGCTAAGGATATGAATAGACAGTTCCCAAAAGCAGATATACAAATGGTCAACAAATACATGAAAACATGCTCACCATCACCAATGATCAGGGAAATGCAAATCAAAACCACAATTTGATACCACCTCACTCCTGCAAGAATGACCATTAATAAAAAATAAAAAATAATAGAGTTGGCTTGGATGCAGTGAAAAAGGACATTTCTACACTGCTGGTGAGAATGTAAACATCACTATTTTAAAGTATACAGTTCAGTGATTTTTAATGTATTCACAAACTTGTACAATTACCATGATCTATTTCCAAAACATTTAATCACCCCCCAAAGAAATACTATACTATTAGGTTGGTGAAAAGTAATTACAGTTTCCTCCATTTTTAAAAGCAATGGCAAAAACAACTACTTTTGCACCAACCTAATAATTAGAAGTCACTCCCCATTATCCTTCCCTCTGTTCTTTGAAAACCATGAATCTACTTTTTGTTTGTATAAATATACCTTTTCCGGACATTTTATATAAATGGAAATATATAATATGTGCCCTTTCGTGACTGACTCTTTTCACTTAATATAATGTTTCAAAAATTCATTCATGTTGTAGAATGTGTCAGTTTTTTTCTTCTTTTATTGCCAAATACTATTCAATTATATGGATATACTAACTTTTGTTCATCTATTAGATATTTTTGTTCATCTAGATAGATATTTGAGTTGTTTCTACTTTCTTTTTTTTTTTTTTTTAAGACAGAGTTTTGCTCTTGTTGCCCAGGCTGGAGTGCAATGGTGCAATCTCAGCTCACTGCAACCTCCGCCTCCCAGGTTCAAGTTATTCTTCTGCCTCAGCCTCCCAAGTAGCTGGGATTACAGGTGCCTGCCACCATGCTCAGCTAATTTTTGTATTTTTAGTAGAGATGGGGTTTCACCACATTGGCCAGGCTGGTCTCGAACTCCTGACCTCAGGTGATCCAGCCGCCTCGGCCTCCCAAAGTGTTGGGATTACAGGCATGAGCCACCGTGCCCAGCTGAGTTGTTTCTACTTTTTAGCTATTATAAATAATCCTGCTTAAACATATGCGTACACATTTTTTATGGACTATTGTTTTCAATTCTTTTGATATATTATTAAGAGTTGAGTTGCTAGGTCCTATGGTAACTTTTTGAGAAGCTGTCAGACTGTTTTCCACAGCAGCTGCACCATTTTCCACCGCCAGTAGTGCATGGGGTACTAATTTCTCCACATGCTCAACACTTGTTATTGCCTGTCTTTTTTATTACAGCAATGACTGTAGATGTGAAGTTGTATCTAATTGTGGTTTTGATTTGTATTTCCATAATGACTAATGATTTTTTAGTATCTTTTTATGTGGCTATTAGCTGTTGGTATATCTTTGGAGAAATTTTTATTTAAATCTTTTGCCCATTTTAAAATCGAATTTTTAAACGGTTGAGTTGTGAGAGTTCTTTATATATTTTGGCAATAAGCCTGTTATCAGATATATATTTGCAAATATTTTTCCCCATTCTATGCACTGTCTTTTCACTTTCTTGATGATGTTCTTTGAAACATAAAAGTTTTTAATTTTATATATTATTTACATGAAAATTTAAGGAATCCAGAATAGGAAAAAAACACCCTTGAAAAAAATAAATGTGGGTGTTTAAGTAAATTTGGGATGGTTAAGTCTGATTACTTATTTTTCTTTTTCTGTTTGTGTATTTGGTATCATGTCTAAGAGACCATTGATTAATCCAAGATTACAAGGATTTAGGTTTTCTTCCAAGAGCTTTATACTTTTAGCTCTTACATTTATTCTGTGATTCATTTTGAGGGTTTTCTTTTGTCTATGTTGTGAAGTAGGTATCCAGCTTCATTCTTTTGCAAATTCAGTTGTCTCAGCATTATTTCTTGAAAAGACTATTCTTTCCCATTCCCATTCTTTCCCTGTTGCGCAGGCTGGAGTGCATTGGCACGATCTTGGCTCACTGCAACCTCCACCTCCTGGGTTCAAGCAATTCTTCTGCCTCAGAAGAATCCTGGAGCCCTTGTCAAAAGTCTATTGATCTTAAGTATAAGGGTTTATTTCTGGATCTAAATTCTATTCCAATTATCTGTATGACTATCCTTGTACCAGTAGCATACTGTTTTGATTACTATAGCTTTGTAAGAAATTTTGAAGTCAGAAAGTGTGAAACCCCCAAATTTATTTTTTTCCAAGGGTGTTTTTTGCTATTCTGGATTCCTTAAATTTTAATGTAAATTTTAGTATCTTCATGTCAATATCCACAAAACAGGAGGTTGAGATATTAATTGGGATTGCATTGAATCTGTGGACCAGGTTGGGAAGTATTTCCATCTTAGCAATATTGAGTCTCCTAATCCATGTATGTGGGATATCTTTCCTTTTACTTAGTTTTTTTTTTTTTTGAGATGGAGTCTTGCTCTGTCGCCCAGGCTGGAGTGCAGTGGCATGATCTCGGCTCACTGCAACCTCCACCTCCCGGCCTCCCGGGTTCAAGTGATTCTTCTGCCTCAGACTCCTGAGTAGCTGGGACTACTGGCGCATGCCACCACCCCTGGCTAATTTTTCTATTTTTAGTACAGACAGGGTTTCACCATATTGGCCAGGCTGGTCTCGAACTCCTGACCTCATGATCTGCCCACCTCGGCGTCCCAAAGTGCTGGGATTAGAGGCGTGAGCCACCACACCCGGCCTACTTAGTTCTTCTTTAATTTCATTCCACAGTATTTTGTAGTTTTTAGTATGCATGTGTTGCACTTCTTTGAGAAACTTATTTCTAAATATTTCATTCTTTTAATGCTATAAGTGGAATTATTTTCTTTATTTTATTTTTACAATGTTTATTGCTAGTATGTAGAAATATAACTGATTTTTGTATATTGGTCTTGCATCTTGCCATCTTGCTGAACTTGGCCCCTGTAATTTTGATAACCAGTAAATATTCCCATGTATTTCCAAAAGCTTCTAGGTTGGGAAAGGTGGTATTCTGCCTAAGTGAAGAAAGCTTGAGCATGATCTGAAAGGTAAGTGTTGAATCCCGGAGAACTAAATAGTTCTGCCTAATAAAAAACTGGGGGTCTTAGAATTGTCAGTGCTTAAAATTGGGATTGATAAGCCTCTTGACATGGAAAAAGAGACATGGATGAAAAGGACACACCTGCAAGAGTGACCCAGCTGCACTCATGGTGATTAGTGAGTACTAAAGAGGAGTGAATTAGAGAGAAATTTTTGTGGTGAGAATGCCAGAAGAATTGTAAATGGTCTTATGGTGTATTTTTATTTTATGCTGTCCACAAATATCCCATGATTATAACTAATCCTTTAGTCACAGTCTATGGCACCTTTGTGTATGTTTTACATTTTACAAAAGAAGAAAAAATGTTGTTTCTTAACTGAGTCAACTTGAGATTATATTAATCTGGCATGGCATGGGAATGAAATACTCTGGTTAATCTTAATCTATTTAAAAGGAGAGACAGCATTATGTTACATAGTCTACCAATATCCAAAGAGCTGGAATACTGTAAAATGTATCTCCATTAAGCTTTTCCTAAAGAGGCAACATGGTAGTGTCCATTATAGGAAAGGGAAAGATAAATAGAAGTAAATAGGAAGTATTTTTCATATATTATTATATACTAACAACATATGTGTTACATTTATGAAGTAGGAACTGTTATTACCATCATCCCATCTTACAGATAGGGAAACAAACTTCAGAGAAATTTAAACATTATTTAGAGTAATGCAGCTAATATAAGTGGTAAAACTAAGTCTCTGATTCCAAAGCCCCTCCTATTTCCACCATATTGTTGATTTTCAGGACATCTGTGTTGCCCAAATTCAGGAGTGCTGTTCACACAGAATACAACATGAATGGTGTCTTTTAGAGTTGGCAGCACAGCAGCTCTGAAAAGGAAAGAAGACTTGGGTCCTAGCTATGTGAACTGAGAAAGTCACTTACCTTTCCTGAATGTGCATTTCCGCAGTTGTACAATAGGGATTCTAATATCATCTCTTGACTACTGCGTGAGGCTTTGCTGTGAACTAGAAGAGATCATGTGAAAGGGCTTCATAAAAACATTAAGCAGGCCCTTTCTTCCATGAGAACTGTGGGGCTGTGGGGAGGGTTAAAAAATAAAAAAATAAATAAAGCAGATAGAAGTAAGGAATGGTGAAGAAGAGGCAGAATTGACATCAATTTCTTAGCCTGTCACTGGGTCATCATTACAAACATTAGCATTATACTAGAGGTGTCTGCTGGCATCAGTGCTTGGGAATTTTAGTTAATAGAATGCTGACTGACACAAGGTTTGTTCCCAGGTATTTCTGCAGAATGAAAGCTTCCAGGAGTGCAAGGCCATCCAGCTACATCCAGATTCTGTATTTAAAGGTGGATGCTTGGAAGACAGCTGGAGAGGCTGTGCTTGACTGGGAGTCTGGCAAGCTGCTTAGCATCCTCCTGAAGACACAATGAAAAGATCCTGTAGCACATTCTGTCAGGGGTTTGCAGGAGATAGGAAAGATTACCCTATTTGTTATATTTATTGGAGATATTATTATTTGTTTTATGCCGTGTGGAAGGAGGGCCAGAGCTATAATCTATTGATCATTTAGTTTTATGAAGTTCTCAAATGGGTGATCTGGTATTTTTCTGACAGAGAGGCTATGGTTCCTGAACACCAGTAATAAGGTTGTCATGTCATTTTCTTCTCGGTCTTTTTATCGCTTTTTATCTCTTTGCTGATATTACCTCTCCCCAACCTCACCTCCCTCTTGCTACTGTATTTTTTTTTAGGGCCATGTTTAGGACCAGGTTGATTCATTTCATAGAACCCATCCTGTGCTTTTAAGAAATTACTCATCTTGGTTTTTCATGTTTCATCCTGTGATGAAACAGTCTGCCCACTGCAGTCACTATTGTAGTCTTCATAGACTTCATAGTAAACACAGGAATTTAACTGGGGGAGAAATAGGTCAGGGAAGCAGAGACCAAATGTTCATTTTGCAGCCACGGTGTGAGCAGATGGGTAACAGAATGAAGTGGCTTTCTTTGTGGGCCTTGGTTTTCTGTGAACTCTTTCAGGATCTCCTGGGATTCATGCTCCTTCAAAATTCCCAAGTGTCTTGAGCAGACAAACATTGAGGACGGTGTCTTTCTAAGAGAAGACACCAAGGTTATTACCTTCCTATCTCCTCCCTTATCACACAGAAAATACGCTTGATGAGATACACTCTTTCACCCACTTAGTTATCTAGAAATGTGATAAAGAACACAAAATCTCCTTGGGAAACACTGCTAAACAGCTTGGCTCTCAACTGGTGACAAATAGCCCCAGGTGGTCACCAGTGGCCCCAACACAGACAAAACTCCATGCTTCCCTCGTGCCAGTCAGTCAGCCAGGTGAAGTGGTTTCAGATCATTCATAAGCTGGCAATATATGACTTTGCTCCCAAGGAACACAGAGTTAACAAAGAAGCTGTTAACAGAATGTATCTACCTTTAAGGGAAAGAGTATAATGTGTGCAAGGACAGCAGAAAGATTAGCAATGGCATCTCGTACCCAGGCTAGTGAAGAGTTAAGCATTGAATGACTGTGGGAGGCTGGTGTTATAGCTGGGGAACAACTGCCTAATGTCTTTCAACCGGATTGTTTAGCAAAGCTTCATTATGAACGTAATTGTGTGCTTGCACAGGCACACCACACGGAGGGAACACTCACAGTAAAGGTATGATTGTATTGCCTGCTGCCATGCCAATTACTGGATATTAATGGCAGGATGGCATGCATATGCCGGAGCTGGGAAGCAGAAGGTTAATAGACAAACAGCACCAGAAGAGCCCATTTATCAGTTTCTATTTATCTCTCCTTGGGAGGTGGCAGGTTTACAGTAAATACCTTCTGTCCTCCTAATTTCCTAATGATGGGGATAATGATGGAGAATGGTGAAGTCATTAACTGGGACAGGCTCTGTGCATCACTCTGTCAACCACATCTCCCCAAGACCTGCAATGAGAAGTGATGGGCCCCAGCTGTTCACCAGAATCTGAGCCCCTCCTCCCATCCCCTCCACTCTAAACTGCAGGCTTGGGAAATGGTTCCCCAAATGAAGAAGCTGGAGGCCCAGGGTATGCAAAGAATGAGAGAAGGAAAGCAAGTCTCTTCAGACAGGAGTAGAGCTCTTCCTGTTACTCTCCCTTTGCACAGAACCTGGAGGAAGTTGTGTTGACATATGCTGGAGTGCTTCTCCAGTGATGCCAAAGCTACCATGAAATATATGTAGAATTGGATAATGAATCAGTAATTAAAGTGAGTATGCTAGGGGAGGGTGGAGAAGCACATTTCACCCAATGTTCTTCTTTTTAAAAACTGGGAGACATCTACAAAATATATAAAGCATTTTCACAGCTCGCTTCAAAATGGGCTGCAGAGACTGGAGGAAAATCTCTTCTGCAGAGGTAAAGGTTTTTATTTTACAATCCTGAAGGTAGACGGAAACAGCTTAGATTGACTTGGCTGTGATTTTAAATTTATTCCTAATAGTGGTTACAAAGTATCTACTTCATCTAACTGTTTATACATAGTCTTTTGACTTAGTTATTGCCTAAAAGTAAGTGGTAACTTGGTTTTGCCTCAGTAATTTACAGAGCCTTTAAAGAAGGATGACTTTCTTTTCTTTTATTTAGGAAGCACATTATCTATTTCTAGAATTTACTCTCTATTAATTGAGGAAAGCTGTTATTTTACCTATAGGTGGTAGGATTATTTTGCTAGCAATAATGGAGAAGTACTTAAGCCAACAACAGCAAAACATGAAAGTATATCCTGGTGGCATGAAAGAATCTCAAGATCAGAGACATAGTTGGGCCTCAGGAGTAGACTGAGAAAACTTATCATCTTAACTTAAAATTGTAGCACCATCTTTCTCTTGCACGTCTTGCTGCTCTCTAACCACGGTTTTTTCCCCTTTCTATACACCTATGTTCTATTGTTCTTAGAATACAGAATGGGAAATAGAATTTCTTACAGTGCACAGTTTTATTATTTCAGATCCAGCTGAACAACTGAACTTTTTTTTAAGAGGCAGGGTTTTACTTTGATGTGGGGGCTGGAGTGTAGTGGTGCAAACATAACTCAGCTCATTGCAGCCTCAAAGTCCTAGACTGATCCTCCTCTATCAGTCTCCCTAGTAGCTAGAATTATAGGTGTGCACTACCATACCTGCCTATTACTTTTTTTTTTGAGACAGGCTGGTCTTGAACTCCTGGCCTCAAGTGATCCTCCTGCCTGGGGTCTCCCAAAGTGCTAGGATTACAGGTATTGTAATCCTAGCACTTTGGGAGGCTGAGGCGGGCGGATCACAAGGTCAGGAGTTCAAGACCAGCCTGCCTAACATGGTGAAACCCCGTCTCTACTAAAAAATACAAAAATTAGCTGGGCGTGGTGGCACGCACCTGTAGTCCCAGCTACTTGGGAGGCTGAGGCAGGAGAATTGCTGCAACCTGGGAGGTGGAAGTTGCAGTGAGGCAGGACACCCCACTGCGCTCCAGCCTGGGCAACAGAGCAAGACTGTTTCAAAAAAAGAAAAAAAAATTACAGGCATGAGCCACCATGCCTGGCCAGAAATCATCTGATCTTTATCATCTGTCTCTGTTTCTCTTTCTCCTACCTCCCATTTGAGGGGTGAAACTTTGGCCCAGTTTTGTCTCTTATAGCTAGGGTACTGGAATTAGTCACATGATTATGGGTGCTGGAGGATGGAGGTATGAGGTATGGGGAGTCACCAAGTCACCAAAGAAGGGGAAACGGAAGGGAAATTGTGAGCTATTAAGACAGCTTATTTTATATATATATATATATATATATGTATATGGAGAGAGAGAATAGACAACTTATTTTATATATATACATACATATATATACATATATACACATATATGTATGTATACACACACACACACCCACATATATATATATATATAGAGAGAGAGAGAGAGAGAGAGAGAGAGAGACGTGGTAAGAAATCAGGGAAGAGTACAGTCCCATCAGGACTTATGTTTTGGGAAATTTACTTCAACAACACTTAACAGTTATAAAAGCTCTTAACATCAGTCTAAATCAAGTCCAATGATAGGGATAGATATCAAGAACATCAGTTCTATGATAGGGATAATAGTATCTGCACCATACCTATTAAATGGGGAGTCATGAGGATTAAATGAGATGATGTTTCTGAAGTGCTCGATCAGTACCCCACCTAGAAAAAGTTTCCTAATATGTGGTAGCTATTATAGTTGTCAGTGTGAGTTTTCCAAGTTTGATAGTATCAGTCCATTCTCTCATTGCTATGAAGAAATAACTGAAGCTGGGTAAGTTATCAAGAAAAGAGGTTTAATTGGCTCATGATTCCACAGGCTGTACAGGAAGCATGAGGCTGGCATCTGCTTAGCTTCTCAGGGGGCCTCAGGAAAATTATAATCATCATGGAAGGCGAAGGGGAAGCCAGCACTTCACATGGCTGGGTCAAAAGGAAGAGAGAGATGGGGAAGTGCTACACACTTTTTTTTTACTCTTTAAATTTTATTTATTTATTTTATTGTACTTTAAGTTCGGGGATACATGTGCAGAACGTGCAGGTTTGTTACATAGGTGCACCTGTGCCATGGTGGTTTGCTGCACTCATTAACCCATCATCTACATTAGGTATTTCTCCTAATGTGTCCCTCCCCTAGCCCCCTACCCCCCAACAGGCCCTGGTGTGTGATCTTCCCCTCCCTGTGTCCATGTGTTCTAATTGTTCAACTTCCACTTATGAGTGAGAACATGCAGTGTTTGGTTTTCTGTTCCTGTGTTAGTTTGCTGAGAATGACAGTTTCCAGTTTCATCCATGTCCCTGTAAAGGACATGAACTCACCCTTTTTTATGGCTGCATAGTATTCTGTGGTGCATATGTGCCATATTTTCTTTATCCAGTCTATCATTGATGGCCATTTGGGTTGGTTCCAAGTCTTTGCTATTGTGAACAGTGCCACAATAAACATATGTGTGCATGTGTCTTTATAGTAGAATGACTTATAATCCTTTGGATATATACCTAGTAATGGGATTGCCAGGTCAAATGGTATTTCTGGTTCTAGATCCTTGAGAGATCGCCACACTGTCTTCCACAATGGTTGAACTAATTTACACTCCCACTAACACTGTAAAAGTGTTCCTGTTTCTACACATCCTCTCCAGCATCTGTTGTTTCCTGACTTTTTAATGATTACTATTCGAACTAGCGTGAGATGGTATCTCATTGTGGTTTTGATTTGCATTTCTCTAATGACTAGTGATGATGAGCTCTTTTTCACATGTTTATTTACCACATAAATGTCTTCTTTTGAGAATTGCCTGTTCATATCCTTTGCCCACTCTTTGATGGGGTTGTTTGTTTATTTCTTGTAAATTTGTTTAAGTTTTTTGTAGATTCTGAATATTAGTCCTTTGTCAGATGAATAGATTGCAAAAATCTTCTCCCATTCTGTAGGTTGCCTGTTCACTCTGATGATAGTTTCTTTGCTGTGCAGAAGCTCTTTAGTTAAATCTCCTTAAGCTGATAAGCAACTTTAGTAAGGTCTCAGGACACAAAATCAATGTGCAGAAATCAAAAGCATTCCTATACACCAATAATAGACAAGCAGAGAGCCAAATCATGAGTGAACTCCCATTCACAATTGCTACAAAGGGAATAAAATACCTAGGAATACAACTTACAAGGGATGTGAAGGACCTCTTCAAGGAGAACTACAAACCACTGCTCAAGGAAATAAGAGAGGACATAAACAAATGGAAAAACATCCCATTCTCATGGATAGGAAGAATCAATATCCTGAAAATGGCCATGCTGCACAAAGTAATTTATAGATTCAATGCTATCCCCATCAAGCTACCATTGATTTTCTTCATAGAATTAGAAAAAACTATTTTAAATTTCATATGGAATAAAAAAAGAGTTTGTATAACCAAGACAATCCTAAGCAAAAAGAACAAAGCTGGAGGCATTATGCTACCTGACCTCAAACTATACTACAAGGCTACAGTAACCAAAACAGCATGGTACTGGTACCAAAACAGATATATAGATCAATGGAACAGAATAGAGGCCTCAGAAGTAACACTACACACCTACAACCATCTGATCTTTGACAAACCTGACAAAAACAAGCAATGGGGAAAATATTCCCTATTTAATAAATGTTGTTGGTAAAACTGGCTAGCCATATGCAGAAAACTGAAACTGGACCCCGTCTTCATACCTTATACAAAATTAACTCAAGATGGATTAAAGACTGAAGACCTATAACCATAAAAACCCTAGAAGAAAACCTAGGCAATACCATTCAGGACATAGGCATGGGCAAAGAATGACTAAAACACCAATAGCAATGGCAACAAAATGCTACATGCTTTTAAACAACCAGATCTCATTAGAACTCACTCACTATCATGAAAACAACACCAAGGGGAACATCTGCTCCCATGATCCAATCACTTCCCACCAGGCTCCACCTTCAACATTGGAGATGACACGAATTGTATGTGACATGGATCCAAACCATATCAGACATGTTTCTGTTCTCCAAAGGTGAACAAGTCGTTTATAGCAAACGTGGCAGACTGTATTTTCAGAAATGGCCATAGCAGTATTTCTGACCCTACATGCTCTTCTGGATTATAGCCACGCCCACAAGAGGTGGATTTATTTCCCTTTCTTTTGAATTTGGGTGGGTCTTTATGACTGCCTTGATGAACAGAATGCATCACAAATGATACAAAGTGATGCTAGATCCTGAGATACAATACATTCCACCTAGGGCCAGCTTCATGCGCATGGGATTTGTGCAATCACACAGGGTCCTGCACTCAGAAGGGCCTCACATTGGTTGAATGCTCTACTGTTATTGTTTTGAAATTCTTGGTATTTTTGGACAAGGGGCTTTCCATTTTCAGTTTCCACTGGGCTTTACAAATTATGTCACCAGTCTTGCTTCCACCTGGCTCTCTATCACTTGGGACACATACATTGTATGCCTGTAGACATCATGCTGGAGACATGGAGAAGCCATGTGGAGATTCCATTATAAAGAGAGGACATTCAGATGTTTCTCCTCTCTGAAGAGCCATATTTTTGCTAAGACTTGAAGTCTATAAAACAGTTAATCAAGTGTATGCCAGGGAAGCTAGATACCCTGGCAGAAGCTAGAATGTTCAAAGACCCTGAGGTCAGAAAGGACTTTGCATTTTGGCTCCGTTTCAGGGACTGTGTTAATGTCTTTTTGTAATTGGTGGAAAGTTTGCATATGAAGGCCTAGAAAAACTTCAAGAAAACTTGAGAAAATATATTAATTTGTCTTTTCAAAAAATTAAGGCTTAGAAGTTTTATTTCTTCATTACCAGCCTCAGGCTTTCTCTCCTTTTCCTCTGTTCCTCCTTCTGAATATTTTTACATCTGTGATCTAAGTTTTTTTAAAAAAAGTAATCTTAAATGTTAGAGAAAAAGCCAAAACACTTGTTTTGTGTAAATACAAGAAAAATTTATCTTTGATTAACTGAGATGGCTATGTAAAGTAATAGTTAAATGTTATAGCATTCACAAAAAAACAAAAAAAAAATATAGCATTCACTAAAATCCAAGCTATGAAAGATTCTTTTAGAGTTTGTTTATACATTCAGTTAATATATATTTGTTATGTTCCTCTCATGTTGATAACATAGTGCTTGGCCCTGGAAACACTCTCTGCTCTCTTGAGATGTTAAGAATCTAGAGAATAGCCATGGTTTGAATGTGTCTCCAAAAGTTCATGTGTTGGAAACCTAATCCCCAAGGCAACAGTGTTGAAAGCTTGGACTTTTAATAGGTGATTAGGTCATAAGGGCTCTGCCTTCATAAATGGATTAATGTCATTATTGTGGGAGTGAATTATATATTGTGGGAGTGGGTTAGATATTGCAGGAGTTGGCTCTTGATAAAATGATGAGTTTGGCCCTCTTTTCTCTCCATGTCATGTTTACTCTCTTGCCCTTCCACCTTTCACTGTGGGATGACACAGCATGAAGGTCTTCACCAGATGTGGGCCCCTTGATCTTGGACTTCCCAGCCTCCAGAGCTGTAAGAAATCAAAATCTGTTCTTTATAAATTACCCAGTTTCAGGTATTCTGCTATAGCAGCATAAAATGGACATTTAGACTGTAGATAAAATATGGGCAAATACAGCAGTAATTATATAGTTATTATATAGTAAAGACTCTGAAGGGGGAGGTACAGGTGCTGAAGCATCTCATATGGATTTATAATGAAGCCAGGGATTATTTCAATGTGAACATAGCACCATTATTGTATAAGGTAACATAGATCTTATAATTTCAGAGAAAATGTTACCGTGGATTATTTACTTTGTGGCTTATCTATGATCAATATTTAATCTTAGGTTGCCTATCTCCTTGTTCTATGACACATATTTAGGAGTACTTAGCAAATTCTTAAAGGGACAAATCTACTATAAAATACTGTTACCCAAAATGAATCACAAAAAGTAATACAAATAACATTTGGTTGATCTGCTATTTGGAGATTCTGTGAGGAAAAGTGCCTAGCACAAATTCTAGTAAGTATGCATTAATTATTGGTTTATTTGTTTCTACTTTTTTTATTTTATGAGTGTAGAAAGTTGATTAGGTTCAGAAACTTAGGACATTAAGAAGAATATGAACAATAGGAAAGGCAGAAAATAATAAAATTGACAGGAAAAGGTATGAAATCAGGAACTTGTCTATTTTGCTATAAGTTTATATTCTTTTCTTTCATTCTGAGTCATAATCTGTGATTTTTATCACTTATACGTTGGAAAAACAATGCTTTCAAAGGCTTCATGACTACTCTACAGAATATAAAATGAAATAAATCAGTGAGGATATGCTCCCTCCTAATAATAAAAATTTCCCTCTCAAGATCTGTTTACTGATATTGGAACCATTTCCTTGAACCACTCTCAAAATTATATATTTTTTAAAAAAATTAATAAGACCCCCAATTGTATTGTGAAACTACTTATTAACTTTTTTTCCAAGGGAAAAAACAGTTTATCTGAGAACACAGTTGGCACTTTAATTATATGCTTTAAACACTTCCCTACAGATGCCAGGCAGCTATTTATTTTCTGGATTTTTTTCCCTAAGTCTCTGGTTGTTTGCACAGATGAGTTTTATTTAAACATATGATGAAAGTCAGTAACACTCAAAGTTTATTTTAAGAATATTTCCTTTACAGCCTCTCCTTCATGTACACAAGGGGGTCTCTATGTGGTTGGGAGGGTGGCAAAGGTTACCAAAATTACCTGGGGTAGCTTTTTCAAGCTGTCCATATCCTTCGCTCTTCTCTAGATTTAGAAGCACTTAAATAAATGTAAAACACCCTACCTCACCTTTAATTCCTGAGACTGAAAACTATAAGTCAGAATTAGTTGGGCAGTTACATAACAATCATGAAGAAACAGAATAGCAATCATAGAATACTAGTAGATTTAGAAGGGGTATTAGAGGCAATCTTGCTCAACTGTTATTTTACAGCTAAGACTGCAGAGGCACAGAGAGCTTAAATAACTCAAATTTGGCAGGACTTTAACCAGAACTGCTGTCTCCTGACTCCACATTTCATTCTTTTCCATAAGACCACACTTGTTGCTCTCTTAGTTCATATTAGATAGTGCAAATAACACCAATATGGAAACTCCAGCGAGCCAAGATGGATATACTTTCGTGGGTAGAACGAAAAGGAGATTTTGAAGATAGTTTCTGCTAATAGAAGACAGAATGCTTACTGTAACCTCAGTTGATGTAATTATATGAACTTGAGGTTAGATGAAAAGGTGAAAGGTTGTGGGGATAGTGGGACAGGAAGCGTCAGTGGCTCAGGCAACATTGATCTGTTGCAGTGCCAGTCTCTAATCATTCAATCAGCTATGTGTTGAACTAGATTCTATATGAGCTAATAAAAGTGTTACATGGTGGTACTCTACGGTTGGCACCACATTTTATACTCACTGGGAGATGGAAAAACACACAGGAGGTATATTGAAACTAGGTAGATTGGTAACCTTCACAAGATCCTTGTGTGTCTTGTTTACCATCTCATCTCATACATAGAACAGTACCTGGTATATACTAGATGTTTAATAAATATTGATTTAATAAGTTATTAACATATGATTAAGAACATAGATAAATACAACAACAAATAAAGTCTCTAGGATTTTGGAAAGAGGCTGTAACCACCTGGGAAAACTTCACAGAAAATGAGAGTTTCAGATACTGAGAATAGAACCACTAAGAAGCAGAAAAGAGAAGATATTCTCGTGGGGGAGAACAACGGCTGGGAGGGGAGGAAGCATGGCCAAGGCAAAGAGGTGGGCATTAATAAGGTATGTTCCACGTTCTGGGGCTAATGAGAAGACAATGTTAGCTTTATTTCTTTTTACTTGGAATGATATATGTTATTTATAAGGTTAAGTGAGATTTTACACAGCTTTAATGCCTAGGCTGGCCCTGGACCTGGAAATTTGAGCCATTGAAGTTTGGGGGTTTGGTAATGACAGTGAGGCCTTTGAGCTGCACTGAAGCTGGTCTCTTAGGACAACAACAATTAGAGGAGGAAGGAAGGTAAAGGAGGCCTAAGACAGTCAGGGGGAGGGAGACTCCCCATTCACTGACCTGTCAGTTCAGGCCTGGGCTCTTGCCACCTGTGATCCTGTTCATCATTTGGTTAGGTACCCAAAGCTTATGTGAAGAACAAATTGTTTGGAATAAATTTGTGGGAACCTCTGATAATCACTGTATATGAAATAGAATACAATTTTGAGAAAAAATCATTAGGTTTTGAAGAACAGTTAAAATATTTTTAAAGAATATGGAGAATTGGAACAATTTCTCTGAGAATTAGACATTTTGAAACTATATATTAATATTTACTCATCTGCTCCTTAAATGCAGCACATTTCTGATGCTAAAGTATTAAGATGAGAGCAAAGTGAGAGGGGGGTGGGAAAATAGTTTCTTAGTCATATGTTCTCTGGGTGTCCACATCTTTGAAAGCCCGTGTACAGGATTTTATGTTGTGGATCACTGGCAATAATATACAGTCTCAGTAGAGAGTATGAAGGTTACACCCTGCTGTGGCTCCTTTTTCTTACAATTTACTGGCCATTGCTACATAGAAATCAAGTCACAATGGAAATATTTATATTTAAAAACTCCAGACTATTTCAGGAGCAAAATTACTCATGATTGAGTTACAACTGGATGCATCAGCTCATTTAGCAGTTGCCTCCTTAGCTTTGAAACATCAACTGTGACATAAATCAAGATGTACATTAACAAGGATGGTATAAAACATCTGTGAATTCTAAATAAGGGAAAATCACATTAGTCACCATGCAAACAATGTGTATGATAATTTACATAAAGGCAGGAGGTAGCCAGGAACTCAAACAGACCAAAGAACTGAAATAGACCTCTTATCCGAATGCAAATAGTATACAAAAGGAACTATCTGTCTTCTCATTTTTTTTCCTGAGCATGTAAGAAATAGTTATACAAATTGAATAATATTATTTCTATTGAATTAAGAGAAAAAGGCTCTTCTTGAAAGAAGGGAACATAATTTCTTCTTGAAGCATGTAAGTCCTGGCAGATAATCCTCTGAGTGTCTAAGCCATCACATGCTGCCCCTGTGGAGTCAGCTGGAACAGTTTGCTGCTCATTTCTGAATGCAAACTGTGTCTCTAAAGTTCTTGACTGTGGTCAACTTCAAAGAAAGGCAAGTCCTAAATACCCCATACAAAAAGAAATCGGCCTTCTAACCCCAAGCATGGTCATTGTAAGTACCTTTTGGCATCAGATAACTTATGTGTCTGATTGCATTATGTTCTGAGCTGATGTATTTCTACTAGCAGTGAATAAAAACTGAAGATGGCTAAGTGTATGCATCACAAAATATTAAGAGAAATTTTCAAGTTATCATGTCCTTTATTTTCCGTGGATAATGACACATGAAATTAATCAAGTAGCCTAAGGAATCACAAATGCAGAAAGTTGTGGAGCTAAGAAACAGGTCTTCTTTCTTTGTCCTCCTTAACATCATAAAAGTTCTTATTTCAACAAGCAATGTACCTGAAGTTAGCAGTTTGTTTCATCTATAATTTGCGCTGTATAACAATGAGAATGATATTCTCGTTATTCTTGGTATAACAGGCTGTTCCTATCCTTGCCCCCATTAACAATAAAAACCCATGCAGTTTTCAGCCATTATCATTTTTCTCCTGATAAACCATCTGTGACATGGAGACCTTGAAGCCGGGAGTTCTGGCCACAATGCTCAATAGACTATGCATACAGCTTTTTCAGAGGTAATCACTGTAAAAAAAAAAAAAAAAAAAAAGATACCAGCTCCAGTGTTATTCTTCTCTCTTATAAGTTTTGTTTTGCTCCTTTTTATACATCTAATGTAATGTGAGTTCACATGAATTCAGCCCAAGGCATTTTGCCTGACAATAGAAACTACATCTAAGGCTAGTGCTTAAGTAGGTGCTAGAGCTGTCTTTTCCCTTAATTCCAGCTGCTCTTGATGCTATATTTAATGCAATAACTAGAAGGAAAATGTTCTCACTACAGAGCTGCTTTGTCCCTATTTCATTGTCTTTCCTTACAGAGTTCAGAAATCATCTGTCTTTTGGATAGACTAGGTCCCTGTAAATTGATCTTGACTCAAATAAAAAGGAATCAGATGGCAAATAAACTCGTATCCCCACCAACTGGTTTCATAAATAAATAAGAACATGTGGCTCTCCAGAGCCTGCTGGTTTTGACCTCAAGCCTTTATAAAGCTGAAGGCTATTACAAAGTGATATGCAGATAATATCTAAAAATCAGTTATAGAAGTAGATCTAAAATAGAGGTTAATAGATCAATTCTTTTGTGTATGCATGTATTAATCAGGATTCTTCAGAAAAACAGAACCAATGGGATATGTATATGTATATAGAGAGATTTATTTTAAGGAATTGGCTCATGTAATTGTGGAGGCTTGGTGAATCCAAAATCTGATGGGCGAGGCTGGCAGGCTGGAGACTCAGGAAAGAGTTGCAGTTTGCGTCTGAAGACAGTCTGCTGGCAGAGTTCCTTCTTTCTAGGGGGAAATCGTCTTTGTTCTATTAAGGCCTTCAACTGATTGTTTGAGGCCCACCCAGATTAGGGAGGGTAATGCTTTACTCAGGTCCACTGATTAAAATGTTAGTCCTATTCAAAACACACCTACACAGAAACATCCAGAATAATGTTTGACCAAATACCTGGGTACTTCGACCTATACAAACTGACACATAGAATTATCTATCATAGTGCACATATACTCCTTAATGTTAAATAAACAACACCCATACTTCAGTATCCCTTCAGAGATTTACAAAAGCTCAGAAAATCATTTGAGCAGGCAATGCTTCTATTTTCCATGCACGTCCCAAGGACAAGAGATTACTTTTTTAAATTGTAGCTGTGGACTGTTAATGCATATAAAATCAGGAAGTCCTCCACTGTCCACCCTCAGGTGTCATACCTGGTGTTCTGTTGTCCCATGCTATTTCTTGGGGGAGTGGAGCTTCCTATATTAGTGGACATCTGTAAGCCCTATAAATAGTCACTTAGAAAGTAACTTTAATGTTTATCTTGAAGTAAGAAATGAGGTTGTTGTCTCACAGATAGAAATAATTTTAATTTTTTGAAATTATAAAATATGAACACTCTATATGTATATGTGTGTGTCTGTGTGTATGAATTTTTATTTTTTTTACCAAGGCAGTGTGTATCTATAAATAGAAAAAAAATTATCTTCAGCTCATAATGTTTTGGGGGTGAACTACATTTTATCTTTTTAGTTGAATTTTCTCTTCCCTTTGGGAGCATCTGAACCAACAACAAAACTAGGCCCAGAAGACGGTGTCTCCCCTGTTAACTTCTGGGCTTCCTCCTTTGTTCTTATCTTTGTTAATCTGAGTGCAGAACCCCCTCTCTTTTTGACTTATCAAAAAAAAAAAACCATAAACATGGAAAGAAATATCAAGCTGAAGAAGGAATGTGCATTTTAAGGAAAAAAAATGTCCTTTCATGCATCAGTTGAAAATGGAAGTCCAGGGCTCTACTGTTCTTAGAATGTGAGCTGTCCTCAGCTCATTTGAGTCATACTATTAATATGAATAGTGTGAAAATGAGGTCAGTGTAATTATTTCTTTAAAGTGGGCTTGTACCAAGCCTAATTTTGTTTTGTATCCCATGAGATTTTTACATTTTTAGTAATAATAATAACAGGTCAGGGTATACTGTAGAAAGTGAGAATTTAAACTGTATCTTACTGGCAGTAAATTGTTCCTTTGAAGTAAATGATCTCTTATAGGTAGTTTGGCTTTTTGGGAAAGATAATTTCCCTCACATGAATTAAGAGGAGAAGTTTCTTATTTGTCTTATTATGCATGAGATCAGTTCCCAAAATAACTATGCTAATAACCAGATAAAAACCTTACAGAGATGTAAATACTAATATCATATGGGGAGAATTTTATAACTTTTGGAGATATTTCTCATCTAGTCTAATTTAATTGTTCTCATAGCTGTTCTCAGATTGTTCTCAGATGTTATCAGCATCTGAGTTGAACATTAAAAGTAAAACTGAGCAAAACAAATGAAGCAAGATATCTTTTGAACAATAATATTTAGAAATATTTGCACTTAACTTTCACAGCAAATTTTAAACTTCCTTTGCTGGCTGCCATGGCCCAGAAATTTGACTAGAGACAAAGTCTGTTTTATTTTTAGTTTTGTCCATATTTAATGGTAAGGCATGACTTTGAATCACAAACATTTTTTCATTTGCAAAATAGGTGATACGAGTTCAATGTATAAACTAGGAAAACGGCGAACAATATTTAATAATTGCGTGCTCTGGGAAAACATATTATGATACAGACGTTAAATTCAGAGTATTTAACTTCTCCAGAGAATATGAGAATTACTAAATCAGTTACTGGATATTTTTAAATGTTCAAATGCTAATTTGATACAAGTCCTAGAGAATAGTTCAGATAATGACCTATGTCAAATACTTTGGAGATATATATTAGGAAGAATAATCATAGGTCAGAAAGAGCTTCTATTCATCCAGCAAATATTTATTGATGGCTTACTATGTGCTTTATGTCCTGTGTTAGATACTATGAATATCATTTTATATAGCAGAAACATGGTCCCTGCTTTTGTGGGACTTCAAGCCCAGTGGAGAAGATACATAGTATACACACATACATGCACAAATGTACATGCATGCCCTTTGTGATGAGTGCTATAAAAGAAAAGTTTGGTGCTGTGTGAGAGAATAACCTTGGTGGTGGTTGTTGGGATGGTGGACTATATACAGGAAGATCATGAAATGGTCTCTGTGATTTGACATTTATGCTATGATGTGAAGGTTAAGGAGACTGCTGTGCAAAGAATGAAAGAAAAAGCATTACAGGGAGAAAGAAGAGCATGTGTGAAAGCCCTAAGACAGGAAAGAACTTGGCAAGTTTCTGAAATTGAGAGGCAGCCAATGGGACTGGAGCCCAGAGAGCAAGAGAGAGAGAAGGGGTTTGGACTTGTAGTGTCTGTATCATCATGACCATTGCAGGCATTAGGATCTTACCCTAAATGCAAGTGGAAGCCATTGAAAGGTTTATCAAAAGGACAGGTATATGACCATTCAGGCAAAGGTGAAAGCTCATGCTATTTATTTCATGGTTTTAAATGTAGTGTATTTTGTTATTTTTTGACGTATGATATTCTTGTTTTTTGTTTTGTTTTGTTTTGTTTTTTGCTTTAGAGTCAATTTTGGTACAGAAGTAGCAGTTATCTCTAATAATTACCTAAGAGAGAGCGGAAATTCTACAATTTGACCTCGAGAAAGTTGCTTAGCCCTTCTTTTCCATGCCAGAACTCTGAATTTTAATAAGATATGGTAAAGCTATTTTTAAGGCAGTGATCCAAGAAGATATACTTTGAAGTGTATTTCCTTTTTGTTGTATTTCTGACTATATATTTTCTAAAGGCCTATTAAAAAGTACTATTCTTCAAAGATAATCTATAAATATACACAATGATTTTCAAAATATCATTCCCAAACCATTTTATCAAAGTTACTGTTTACTATTCTGTTTGATTGCACAGTGGTGTAGTTCCTTCAGAGACTTTTGGGGAAGGCAGGAGAAGGACAGAGCATATGGAGGATGTCATGATGAAATAATGCTTCCCAAGGAAGTATAAGGAAATATTTCTTTGGTTCTGTACTAGGCAGAAACCCAATACAAATGAAGCATCAAGAGCATTACTATTTCCCAAGAAAGATCATGAGTGTATTTCATGGTTCTATTTGTTCATTTTCACACTGCTATAAAGAATTGCTTCAGACTGAGTAATTTATAAAGGAAGGAGGTTTAATTGACTCACAGTTCCACATGGCTGGAGAGGCCTCAGGAAACTTACAATCATAGCGGAAGGCACAGGGGAAGCAGACACCTTCTTCACAAGGTCGCAGGAGGAAGAAGTGCCAAGTGAAGGGGGAAGAGCCCCTCATGAAACCATCAGATCTCATGAGAACTCACTATCACGAAAACAGCATGGGGGAAACTGCCCCCATGATTCATTTACCTCCATCTGGTCTCTCCCTTGACATGTGGGGATTACGGGGACTACAATTCAAGATGAGATTTTTGTGGGGACAGAAAGCCTAACTATATCAATGGTGATTCTGTTTGTATCTGTTCTTTAAATTAATTTGTTGTAAATGAAAGAATGGAGTTTGTTGCTTCAAATGGAGGAAAAAAATCATAATATTCTATCCTTTAAAAAATGAGGTGTCTTATACTGATAAAAGAAATTATAAAATATGACAGGAAATGTATATGGACCACATGTGTTTTCTCTAAAAGTGAAAAATATTTTTTGTGTTCACAAATCTATAGTTTATATAACCAGAGTCTCGAATAAAAACAAACAACCCCATCAAAAAGTGGGCGAAGGATATGAACAGACACTTCTCAAAACATTTATGCAGCCAACAGACACAGGAAAAAATGCTCATCATCACTGGCCATCAGAGAAATACAAATCAAAACCACAATGAGATATCATCTCACACCAGTTAGAAAGGCGATCATTAAAAAGTCAGGAAACAACAGGTGCTGGAGAGGATGTGAAGAAATAGGAACACTTTTACACTGTTGGTGGGACTGTAAACTAGTTCAACCATTGTGGAAGACAGTGTGGCGATTCCTCAAGGATCTAGAACTAGAAATACCATTTGACCCAGCCATCCCATTACTGGCTATATACCCAAAGGATTATAAATCATGCTGCTATAAAGACACATGCACACGTATGTTTACTGCGGCACTATTCACAACAGCAAAGACTTGGAACCAACCCAAATATCCGTCAATGATAGACTGGATTAAGAAAATGTGGCACATATACACCATGGAATACTATGCAGCCATAAAAAAGGATGAGTTCATGTCCTTTGTAGTGACATGGATGGAGCTGGAAACCATCATTCTCAGCAAACTATCACAAGGACAAAAAACCAAACACCGCATGTTCTCACTCATAGGTGGCGACTGAACAATGAGAACACTTGGCCACAGGAAGGGGAACATCACACACCGGGGCGTGTTGTAGGGTGGAGGGAGGGGGAGGGATACCATTAGGAGGTATACCTAATGTAAATGACGAGTTAATGGGTGCAGCACACCAACATGGCACATGTATACATATGTAAACAAACCTGCACGTTGTGCACATGTACCCTAGAACTTAAAGTATTAAAAAAAAAAAAAAAAGCCATACAGCCTTTGTCCACTTCCCTGGTTCTCAGTTTTCCCATAGGCAAAGGCAAAGATGAAGCAGCTAGGGAGGTGCGTTCTTGCTCACATCCCATGTGACTTTCTTGCCCTGAGTTGCTAAGGAAGTGGGCGTGGCTCAGTCTAGGCACTGCTGTCCAGCTGCAGTGGACTCTGTGCTCTTGCCGCTAAGGTTTAGAGTAGAAAGTTACAACCAGCTCTGAGATTTTCCTTCACTCCTTAGAAAGTTCAAGGAAGAAATTACACACGCGGTGGCCATGATTGACTACAGTGAACGGGAAGGAGACTAAGAGACCATAAGGTGGTTTCCATTAAGGGGAAATTTTACTCCAGGGGCACATTATAGTTAAGTTTCTTGGTTAACAGTCTCGTAGTTTATTAGTCTCTGACCTTGTGCTGCTGATTTGCAGCTTTGTAACCTGCTCCTGCTTCAGTGTCCTCTTGCTTTGCCTGCTTTTGAAAGAAGGAAAAGAATAAAACACCGAACTTATGATGACACTGATTTTACATTAAAATCTGGGGCTGAAGTTGGTGTGTAAGGGATGTGGCCACTTCCATCTGTGGATCTGTGGCTACTATTGGATTCGTTTTTTTAAAAATGTAGTTCTGTTGAAAATCATCTTCTGATAGACGTATAATTTTACCACAAACTCCAGATAAAGCATCTGAATGGAAATACTTAGAGATATCTTCACAGAAGTCATTTCTTGTGTTTTCTGAACTAATTGTTAAATAAATTCTACAAGCTAGATAATATTCCAATTTTAGGAACAAAACCAAGGCTCAGAGAAATTAAATCACTTATTCAGAGTCACAAGTAATAACTATTAGGGCAGGGAATGTCTTATGGGTGAGTGAGATTAGCAGTCATAGACCTGTCGGTTTTTCCCTTGCTTCACCAGCATGCTAAACTCATCATTTTTGCAATATTAAATACAGAGATAATGAGGGCATAGCACAATCAGAATAATAGCATAAATGTTTATCTTTAACGTATTAAAAATATGTCTGTTGTGTATTCATGGCAACAATTAAGCTCCTGGTCAGGCCAAAGGGTGAGAATGTTTAAATGAGTCTTTTTCTGCCACCCATTATCAACTAGGAAAATCAATACTAATGGGGGAAGCACAAGAGCAATGACTAAGTTCGTTACATGTGATCAGAAAGTGAAACACATCTACCATGTTAATGTAGCTTTCAATTTATGGTGACATTTACTGAAAATACTCTGCAATATTTGGCAAAGTTAAAAGAGAGATTGTTCCCCAATTAACGAGAGGATCAAAGAGTGAAGATTAGGGAGGGAAGTAGTGTCTTTTTTTTAAGAAGCAAAATGTTTGGAAAGGTCAGGCTTTGAGTGAGCTAACCTCCACCACTTTTAGTATTCAGGTTGACTAATGAGCGCTTCACTCATCATTCTAATGGATGCATTTATGCTAGGAAAGAATAATAAAATGCTTCTCAACAATGGGGGGGACCAATGGCAACTTTATACGGACAGACACGTAATCATTTCTCCATTATCTAAGCTACCCTCAAAAATTAGAGTTGAATATAAGCTGCTATCCTATACTATAATCATTTTATTCAATATTTTGGATTATTTCATCTAATCAATCATTTAACAATTATTTATTGAGCTTCTACTATGTCAAGACCTGTTCTAGACTCAGGAAACTAGTATACAAAGCCCTCGACCTCATGGAAACTTTATTCTGAGATATCTTTACAGGAATTATCTAGATATAGTTTAGAAAATTACTTTTCTTGCATCTGATTCTTCTTGGGGAGGTAACATTTTCCCCCTCTGAACATAGAATTTACAGTCTATTAAAGCAACTGCGTAGATCCTAGCAATATGTTATGCAATATGTGAATCCTCTCTATGTGAAGAAAATTAACAGCTGTAAAAGTTTAAATCTGTGGGAGGTTACTAGGATGAATAATATAACTTCTACCCTCTCCCTACTTTCTTCTTACACGTTGTGTCACCTTGGGAAAAAAGTTTCTGTTTTGGCATTGCATACAATTTCAAGGATCTAAAATGCAAGAAACAAATTTTGTGCCAAAGGATACTATCTGTAACTTTAATGTTTTTTAAGTGCTTGCTATTGAGGTGGCAAATAAAGTTTTGTTAGAAATAGTGGGGCCTAAAAAGATACAGTATTACTTACTGTTTTGTTTGTTTTAGTGAGTCCCATGAAACACTAATGTCTTGGGAATATTTTTTCCCCATGTATTAACAATTAACATTTTGGGAGAAATTCTTCTCTTAAAAAGATGAACTCTTGACCATTGCAGAAAGAGGATTCCCTCAAGATTTTGCTAGGATGCTCTTGTGTTATATGTTCTAATATCCTGAAGAAGTGCATAATTATAGTATTGTCTACCTTTTTTTTTTATCATTGGCTTTTATTCTGCCTGTCATCTTTTTCTGAACTTGCAAGCATATTTGTTCAGCCTCCCCTTGCTACTGAACAGTTTGTTTTCCTCTTCCTAAGGAAAATACGATCTATTTTATGCTATTTTCTATCTTGTTTGCAGTGTACCTTTTCCGCTAGGATTCTAAGGATGTTTTAAATTTCTCATTGTGATAATATAATATTTGCAATTTCTAGTTTTCACCAAAAATAAGTTTAAATGAGGATCAAGTTATGTCACATGCTGAGTTTTGTCTTTCACATTTGTGCTCTACCTTGACAACAACATTTACTTGGAAGAAACCAAAATGCTAGCTTTCCCATTCTCAGTGCTATCTACATTTCTATTAAGAGCCACATAACACAGAGATGGCTTCTGTTTTTTTATTTGAAGACCTGATGCTTCTTCAACTATCAAAACATATCCAAAGTCTGCCTCTCCTGGCACACTAATGTCTACAGAACACTTTTCAAATAAGAAATAAAATATTGCAACTTGTTTTGATAAAACCCATATTGTATTAAATGTTAATTTTAAGTGAACCTTGTAATGATTTCTTCAAATAATAAATAGAGATTTAAAAACAGCCCTTTTCTAATGTCAAGGAGGTTTTAAAAATATGCTGAACTGCCGCAAGGATGCTGCCTGGATTCTTTGGTAAGTAGCCTAGAGGAAACAAATAAAATCACTAAAAAGAACTCCTAAAAGATAATCACATGTAAAATAGGAAATATAAGCTAAAAGGGCAATTTTCTCCATAAAGAAGTTGAAATCACAGGTGAAGCACTCAGTAAGTAATATAAGAACTTCTGATTCGGTTTGTTCTACTCACTCAGACCTCTGTGGGAATGAAACACTTTAGAACCTGTGACTTTAACTGCTGGATGCTAGGTAGAGGTTGTTTTCTTTGAGGTCCTAATTTATACAGCATTGCTTAGAGCTTACTCAGGCTCTGTGAGTCTGGGGGAGCAGAGTGGAATCTTGGAAGAAGAGCAGCTGTTTCCTCACAAATGTACATAGTTTTACGCTAGGAACTCCCCTTCCCCCAACTTTGGCTGTGAAAAACGTCTTTTGTGGAAATAAGTATGTGTATTTCCGGAAGATAAATAAAAGCTGGTATATAAATTTACTCTCTATATAGCACATAGACACTGAGATTTACCTGACACAAGCAAACTAATTATATCAAATTAATTAATTGGCAAAAATAAAGTTTTTTATATTTTGTAGATGAAAACAATTATTTTATTAACTACATCTTTTTTCTTTAACATTTGGACTTCTGAGTGCTTATTTACTGCACTGAAACTGAAAAAGCTGTACATAAAATTTATTTTTAGAGTTTAGATTTTGTACGTGAATTTTACATGCCTGAGTTTGTTTTTTTAATTGAAATATTGGATAATATATTCCATTTGACAGGGCTACTATAAGAGATTTTTTATTCATTGTAGGTTCTTTCTCTCTATTTTTCTCCAGTAGTTAACGTTGTATACCTTTCATACCTTATCATGGGCCATTATGTTTGATAAAACATCAGTTCTATTTTTTCTCACTAAAGACATCAGCTAAATATTCTAATAAAGTCACAAATCTTTCACAGAACACACAATGCCAAGACAGCTGGTCTCTTCTATGTTTCCTCAGACAGCACCTTTTTCCCCCATAATTCTCATGCAGGAGTCATTATTTTGGGTTTCAAGATGTAATGGCTAGTGAAGACATGATGGGAAGATTGTTTATCTTTAGAAGGCAGCCAAAGTGGCACTTTTCAAAGCTCTGGTTGAAAGGATGCTGAGATATTTGGGAGTGGAGTTTGGAATTGGGAATTTCCTAGATGATCCTATAACTCTTTGGGGAAAGTTGCTATTTTAATGGATAAATAATTCCACTCGTTTAAAAAACAGACATGTTACTTCTTTAAAAAGCTGTTTCTACATCTTTCCTCCCCAATTAAAAGTCTCTCATTTTGTAGATGTGGCTTTAATTTGAAGCAATATGGTATTCTCTCCCCACCCCATTCTAACTAAACAAACTCTGTAAGAATTAGCTTTGAGTTATTCCATCTGTGGACTTTTAATTTTGTCATAAAAACACAGAAGCCTGGCAGGAAACTCTTTCCAACTGGCTACATGTATCATCTTGTCTGAAAGCTGGTTAAGTAAGTATGGCATTTAGAATGAAATTAAAAAAAAAAAAACTTCATTTATGGAACTAGTTCACACGAAGTGTTTGCCCACTTCTTTGACCATCTGTTTATGTTGACAACCACCGCCCCACATTGTGCCAAAGTGCCCTTGGCTATTAAAAACAGTGTTTTGTGTGTGAGTGGTATGTGTGTCCTCACACATGTATGTGTTTCTGGGGTGCTGTTTTCTTGAGAAACATCTTGTTAAAGGTTGAATATGGTCTATGTGGAGATATTTCAGGTCAGTTGCTGTTCAGAAAACATTGTGCTGAAAATGCTACAAGCCCACTCATTTTAAAAGGTGTTCCCCCCGCCTCCCGAATATACTGAAATTTCTTTTAAAAGGCTATGAATATATTATCAAAATACCTGTTGAATTTGGCTATAATGGTAATGATATTATATGTTGAAGGTGAATCAAAATATGAATCTAAACATGTCTGAGTACAGAAATACTTTGGAATGATTCAGGAATTCGAAGCTGTTGGCAAGATTCCTTTTGCCAACAGGAATATTGGAGTTGACATTTAATTCACCAGATGATAGGGGAAAACTTCTTTTCTATTGAACAATGTAAAGACTTTGGGGACAAGATGGCCTCCTTGGAGATGAAGGACTGTGGACAGGGGCATCATTGTCATTTTTATTGCTTTGAATAACTGTATATTAAAGGTTTTAAACAACTTATTAAAAGCCAATCAGTGAACAACACTACTTCAAGCACTGAGCTGGAGAAATAAAAAAGCACATTCTCAGCTGTACCAAAACTGTAATTCTAGTGGGAAGGAGGAGACACTAATGATAAGAAAGATAAAAAGAGATGGATTTTGTCAAATGGAGATAAAATATTTATAGGAGTTCCAAGGATAGAGAAGTCTTGGTGGGCTGCTGAGTACCAACGACAAGCCAGTTTCAATTCCTTAAATCCCTGAAATTATCTGGAATGTACATGGCAGCACCTGTGAGGCTCCAAACCTCCACTGAACATTGAAATGCATATAACACCTGAGAAGCACGATGAACACAGTGAGGTTTATATACTTGAGTAACTCACAGGGATAGGATGCAGGCTTAGAAACAAATTAAGTGTGTGGCTTGGGGACTAGTGTAATAAACTGTCACAGGACTCTCTTAGGTAAGGTTGAGTGCATATTCTTTGTCTGGCTCTAATCTGTAATTATTATTTTTATTATTACATTTTAATCTTCCAAGACTGATTTTCTTTTTTACATTTGGTTTGTCAGCTTTTCAAATAGGTTTGCATTTTCTCAAATAATTTCCCATGTTTTATCATCAATTGCTTTAGAATTATTTCTCAGAGCCCGAGTCTGGGCTGAATAACAGATATCATTTCTGACAGCTGTAAAGTGAGGCTAACGAACATCCCAATGAGGATGTACCATGCCAGGTTCATCCATCCAGCTGAATTTGTATTGTGAGTGCAAATAGCTGCATGTCATGGCCCACTGCTGCCCAGGGCTGGAGTCATTTATTTAATAACTCAGTTCACAGGCATTACAGGGGAACTGTAGCATTTCATATTATTCAAGACAAATAAAAAATCAAAAAATTTTACATGGAGAAAAGTAACATTTCAGTTCTTCCCATTGACTGAGGCTGTTTAAATACTAACCGTGACAGTTAGTCCTGAGGTATAAAACATTAACAATTTATATTAGGTTCGGAAACGGTATCTCCAACTGTGTCATTTGATGGCATGTAGTTTTTCTTTGGGTTTATTGGAGAGGAATTTTAAGATGTGTTTATTTCTCTAACCTTCAGTTATTTAATGTGCAGACCATTCATGCAGTTTAGCAAACTGAACTTGCTTCTAGTTGTTAATACTTAGAAATGCTTGTGAGGCTGTAATCCCAGCACTTTGGGAGGCCGAGGCGGGCTGATCACGAGGTCAGGAGATCGAGACCATCCTGGCTAACACGGTGAAACCCCGTCACTACTAAAAAATACAAAAAAAATTAGCCGGGCACGGTGGCGGGCGCCTGTAGTCCCAGCTACTCGGGAGGCTGAGGCAGGAGAATGGCGGGAACCCGGGAGGCGGAGCTTGCAGTGAGCCGAGATCGCGCCACTGCACTCCAGCCTGGGCGACAGAGTGAGACTCCGTCTCAAAAAAAAAAAAAAAAAAAAAAAAAGAAATACTTGTGAGGATATGCATTAACAACAACAAAACAGAATTCCAGTTTTAAATGTGAATTGTTTATGTTTTCGATTGTAACAAATTTTCTCCCCTTTTTTGAATGTTTTTTCCTCTTTTGTTTATCTAAAATTAGACTAGGCATTCAGCTTTATTTTGAATACTACAAAGTTGTCACTGAAACAGCAAGCTGCAAGTAAAACGATGAAAATTAATTTTATCAGGGGCAGGGAGGATGTAAAAAGAGCGTTAAAATAAAAACATAAAGAGAAACTTCTGGCCGGGCGCGGTGGCTCACGCCTGTAATCCCAGCACTTTGGGAGGCCGAGGCGGGTGGATCACGAGGTCGGGAGATCGAGACCATCCTGGCTAACGCGGTGAAACCCCATCTCTACTAAAAATACAAAAAATTAGCCCGGCCTAGTGGTGGGCACCTGTGGTCCCAGCTACTCCAGAGGCTGAGGCAGGAGAATGGCGTGAAGCTGAGGGGCGGAGCTTGCAGTGAGCCGAGATCTCGCCACTGCACTCCAGCCTGGGCGACAGAGCGAGACTCCGCCTCAAAAAAAAAGAAAAAAAAAAAGACAAACTTCTGTTTAAAAAACATAGTCATAACTTAATGGTGACAAAATTTTACACTTCGGAGATATAAATGTGATGAAAACTTACTATTGTTCCTATGATTCATCTCTTGACACGTTTTATTTTACATAGTAGATTGAGAAATATTTAGTCAGCAAATGAATAAATGATTTGCTGTTGAATTTCAGAAGAGAGTCTTCAGCCTCTCAGTAGCAGTGGAAGCTTGGGGTGGGCCTGAGCTCACCCAAGACAAAATGAATGAAGGGCGAAGAAGAAAATGCCAAGTCAGACCCTGCCCTGGGGATCACCAACAGTGAGAAGAGGAAATATAAGAAACTTGTGAAGGGCCGAGCGCAGTGGCTCACGCCTGTAATCGCAGCACTTTGGGAGGCCGAGCCGGGCGTGGTGGCAGGTGCCTGTAGTCCCAGCTACTCGGGAGGCTGAGGCAGGAGAACCGCGTGAACCCGGGAGGCGGAGCTTGCAGTGAGCTGAGATCGCACCACTTCACTCCAGCCTGGGTGATAGAGCGAGACTCCATCTCAAAAAAAAAAAAAAAAAAACTTATGAAGGAGGCAGAGATATTTCAAAGAGACAAGAGGAGAACTGAGATAGGTGACCTGAGAAACAGTGAACTAGAGAGATTTGAGAAGAAAGGATGCAGGATGTAGCAGAAATCAAGCTAACGGATCCAAAGGGTCTAATGGATTGCTTAGAGGGAAATATTGGAAAGAACAATGTTGGGGTGTTTCTAAAAGGGATGGCTAGATGGCAACATTTTGAGGAAGCAATAGGAAGTGAGGAAAAAAGACAATTTAAAAAGCTATTCTTTCCAAAAGACTGGCTGGAACGTAAGGAGAAAGGACAGACATTAACAGTAGGCAGAAGTGGCATTCGGAGTGGGAATAGTAGACATGACTGGTGGCCTTTTCATGTTTCCTGAGCTCTCACCATGTCCCTGCAGGTAATTCTGAGACCTACACTGTGTTCTGTCTGCCAGAGTCCCCAAGAAGGTATAGCTGCAGGTGCACACTGTATCCTCTTACTTGATTAGAAACTTGATTAGTAACACCCCTTTGTTGACTTCCTCCATTTCCTGTGTCACATTGCCATCCCCTATCTGAATACTTGTACCTGACTTCTTGTCTAAGGGTTTGTTTCTAAGGATCCCAGACGGAGACAGAATTTGTTGACAGGCAGGAGTTAATGGAAAGGGCAAGTCTGAAGACATAGAAAAGAGAAGAAATAATTGATAGAGCAAAGACTTCATGAATTGAGAGAGCAAGGTGGTGAGCTAGGAGTCTTGATGAGTATGGTGGAGATAGCTATAACTGAGACCAGAAAAGTGTGGAAGGCTTGCAGAGAACTATAAAAAGTCTCAAGTCAACTGGATGCTATTATTGACATTGGGTAGCAAAACAAAAACAAAAAACCACCCACACAAACAAAAACAACAGCAGAAACAAAAAACCCGCACAAAGCTAAATTATCATGTGTAAAGCACTTCAAACATCATTTGTCTTGTTGATACTGATATTTTACAATTTCGGGAAAAATCCACTTCAAATGTAATAGAAACTTGAAAGTTATTCTTCTGTGCACTGCAAAACTAAAGGACAAAATTGAATTCGTTTGAAGAAAAAAAAGGTTCTTAATCTTCTTGGATTTTTTCACAGAGATGAGATTTTGAAAAAGTATTTTAAAATAAACTTAATTTTCTGTGGCCTCATACGTAAAATCATTTTTTAAAAAGTTTGTATATGAAGAGCCTTTCAAATACAAGAATAAAATATTGATAACGAATGGAGTATGGCAATTTAAAACATTTACCACATTTTGCTTCCTTGTCTCTCCCTTTTTTTTTTTTAAAAAAAGCACAGATTAAACTGTTAACAACTTAGCAATTAAAGCCTGATGGCAGGAATCTGTGTAAAGTGATCCCTTCATTCACCCAACATTTGCTGATAATCATCCTGTGCCAGTTGCTGTGCCAGACGTTAAAGATAAATGAAAGACCCATTTATCCCCCTGGAGGAGCTGACACTTTATTGTTTATTTTTTTAAATTTTTTAAGTTATTATTTTAGGTTTGAGGGTACATGTGAAGATTTGTTACATTGGTAAACTTGTGTTACAGGGTTTTTTTGATACAGATTATTTCCTCACCCGGGTATTAAGCCCAGTACTCAATAGTTATCTTTTATGCTCCTCTCCCTCCTCCCACCCTCCACCCTCAAGTAGACCTCAGTGTCTGTTGTTTCTTTCTTAATGTTCATAATTTCTTATTATTTAGCTTCCACTTGTAAGTGAGAACATGCGGTATTTGGTTTTCTGTTCCTGCATTGTTTTGCTAAAAATAATAGTCTCCAGCTCCATCTATATTCCCGCAAAATACATGATCTCATTCTTTGTTATGGCTGCATAGTATTCCATGGTGTATATGTACCATATTTTTAAAATCCAATCTGTCATCGATGGGCATTTAAGTTGATTCCATGTCTTTGCTACTGTGAATAGTGCTGCAGTGAACGTTCGCGTGCATGTGTCTTGATGGCAGAATGATTTATATTCCTCTGGGTATATACCCAGCAATGGGATTGCTGGGTTGAATGGTAGTTCTGTTTTTAGCTCAGTGAGGAATTGCCACAGTGTTTTCCACAATGGCTGAACTAATTTACACTCCCACCAACAGTGGGTAAGTGTTCCCTTTTCTCTGCAACCTCATCAGCATCTGCTGTTTTTTTTTTTTTTACTTTTTAATAATAGCCATTCTGACTGGTGTGAGATGGTATCTCATTGTGGTTTTGATTTCCATTTTTCTAATGATCAGTGATATTGAGCTTTTTATTGCATAGGCTTGTTGGCTGCATGTATGTATTCTTTGAGAAGTGTCTGTTCATGTCCTTTGCCCACTTTGTAATGGAGTTGTTTGTTTTTCTCTTGTACATTTGTTTAAGTTCCTTTTAGATGCTGGATATTAGACCATTCTCAGATACGTATTTTGCAAATATTTTCTCCCATTCTGTAGGTTGTCTGTTTACTCTGTTGATAGTTTCTTTTGCTGTACAGAGGTTCTTAAGTTCAGTTAGATCCCACTTGTCAATTTTTGCTTTTGTTGTCATTGCTTTTGCAGTCTTTGTTATGAAATCTTTGCCTGTTCCTATTTTCAGGATGGTAATGCCTAGGTTGTCTTCCAGGATTTTTATAGTTTTGGGTTTTACATTTAAGTCTTTAATCCATCTTGAGTTAATTATTGTATACGGTGTAAGAGGGGGGTCCAACTTCAATCTTCTGCATATGGCTAGCCAGTTATCCCAGCACCATTTATTGAACAGAGAGTCTTTACCCTCTTTCTTGTTTTTGTCAGCTTTGTTGAAGATTAGATGATTGTAGATGTGTGGTATTATTTCTGAACTTTCTATTCTGTTTCATTGGTCTATGTGCCTGTTTTTGTGCTAGTGCTATGCTGTTTTGGTTACTGTAGCCCTGTAATATAGTTTGGAGTTGAGTAATGTGATGCCTCCAGCTTCGTTCTTTTTGCTTAGGATTGCCTTGGCTATTCAGGCTCTTTTTTGGTTCCATATGAATTTCAAAATTGTTTTTTTCTAGCTCTGGGAAGAATGTCATTGATAATTTTTTTTTTGTACTTTAGGTTTTAGGGTACATGTGCACAATGTGCAGGTTTGTTACATATGTATACATGTGCCATGTTGGTGTGCTGCACCCATTAACTCATCATTTAACATTAGGTATATCTCCTAATGCTATCCCTCCCCCCTCCCCCCACCCCACAACAGGCCCTGGTGTGTGATGTTCCCCTTCCTGTGTCCATGTGTTCTCATTGTTCAATTCCCACCTATGAGTGAGAACATGCGGTGTTTGGTTTTTTGTCCTTGTGATAGTTTGCTGAGAATGATGGTTTCCAGCTTCATCCATGTCCCTACAAAGGACATGAACTCATCCTTTTTATGGCTGCATAGTATTCCATGGTGTATATGTGCCACATTTTCTTAATTCAGTCTATCATTGTTGGGCATTTAGGTTGGTTCCAAGTCTTTGCTATTGTGAATAGTGCCGCAATAAACATACGTGTGCATGTGTCTTTATAGCAGCATGATTTATAATCCTTTGGGTATATAGCCAGTAATGGGATGGCTGGGTCAAATGGTATTTCCAGTTCTAGATCCCTGAGGAATCGCCACACTGACTTCCACAATGGTTGAACTAGTTTACAGTCCCACCAACAGTGTAAAAGTGTTCCTATTTCTCCACATCCTCTCCAGCACCTGTTGTTTCCTGACTTTTTAATGATCGCCATTCTAACTGGTATGAGATGATATCTCATTGTGGTTTTGATTTGTATTTCTCTGATGGCCAGTGATGATGAGCATTTTTTCATGTGTCTTTTGGCTGCATAAATGTCTTCTTTTGAGAAGTGTCTGTTCATATCCTTTGCCCACTTTTTGATGGGGTTGTTTTTTTCTTGTAAATTTGTTTGAGTTCATTGTAGATTCTGGATATTAGCCCTTTGTCAGATGAGTAGATTGCAAAAATTTTCTCCCACTCTGTAGGTTGCCTGTTCACTCTGATGGTAGTTTCTTTTGCTGTGCAGAAGCTCTTTAGTTTAATGAGATCCCTTTTGTCAATTTTGGCTTTTGTTGCCATTGCTTTTGGTGTTTTTGGCATGAAGTCCTTGCCCATGCCTATGTCCTGAATGGTATTGCCTAGGTTTTCTTCTAGGGTTTTTATGGTTTTAGGTCTAACATGTAAGTCTTTAATCCATCTTGAATTAATTTTTGTATAAGGTGTAAAGGAAGGGATCCAGTTTCAGCTTTCTACATATGGCTAGCCAGTTTTCCCAGCACCATTTATTAAATAGGGAATCGTTTCCCCATTTCTTGTTTTTGTCAGATTTGTCAAAGATCAGATAGTTGTAGATATGCAGCATTATTTCTGAGGGCTCTGTTCTGTTCCATTGGTCTATATCTCTCTTTTGGTACCAGTACCATGCTGTTTTGGTTACTGTAGCCTTGTGGTATAGTTTGAAGTCAGGTAGTGTGATGCCTCCAGCTTTGTTCTTTTGGCTTAGGATTGATTTGGCAATGCGGGCTCTTTTTTGGTTGCATATGAACTTTAAAATAGTTTTTTCCAATTCTGTGAAGAAAGTCCTTGGTAGTTTGATGGGGATGGCATTGAATCTATAAATTACCTTGCGCAGTATGGCCATTTTCACGATATTGATTCTTCCTACCCATGAACATGGAATGTTCTTCCATTTGTTTGTCTCTTCTTTTATTTCATTGAGCAGTGGTTTGTAGTTCTCCTTGAAGAGGTCCTTCACATCCCTTGTAAGTTGGATTCCTAGGTATTTTATTCTCTTTGAAGCAACTGTGAATGGGCCTTCACTCATGATTTGGCTCTCTGTCTGTTATTGGTGTATAAGAATGCTTGTGATTTTTGCACATTGATTTTGTATCCTGAGACTTTGCTGAAGTTGCCTATCAGCTTAAGGAGATTTTGGGCTGAGACGATGGGGTTTTCTAGATATACAATCATGTCATCTGCAAACAGGGACAATTTGACTTCCTCTTTTCCTAATTGAATACTGTCGTTGGTAATTTAATAGGAATAGTATTGAATCTATAAATTGCTTTGGGCAGTATAGCCATTTTAATGATATTGATTATTCCTTTGCATGAGCATGGGATGTTTTTCCATTTGTGTTTTCTTTGATTTCTCAGCGCACTGACACTTTAATAAAAGAAACATACATGTAGTGAAATAAGTACAACATAGTGTGTTGAATAAAAGTTAAGAAAGGCTTTCTGAATGATGTGATGTTGAAGGTGAAGTGTGGGTCTTTAAGGATAATGGGAAGTGTAACAGTGTGACTCTGGGTGCTTAGGGCAAGTGTCCGGAGGTGAGAAATTGGGCATAGGAAGTGGGGAGGCAAAAGAGTAAAGAGAAATGAGATTGGAAAGGAACTAAAAGGCCTGATTTGGAAAAGCCTTATCTGGCACATGTATCAACTAAGATTATATTCTGGCATAAGTAACAGAAAATACTCTAGGGGCTTAAGCAGGTAAGGAGTTTGTCTTTCTCACATACCTGTCAATCCAGGGGGTTTTATTTAATAAACACTTTTCATAATGCCTGGTTTCTAAGCATAGGCTTGTTGCAGATATTGATTTATCTAACACTTATTACAACCCTTTGAAGTGTGTATTACTTTTATCCCTATTTTATGATGAAAAAAACTAAGACATATAGTAGTTAAGTAACTTGCTCAGTGTCACACAAATACTGGAGGTAGGTTTGAGTCCAGATGGTTTGTCTCAAGAATGCTCTGAGGAACTCCATGGACTCCACTCTGCTGTCCTGTGGGAGAGGCTCAAATCTTCAAGAGAGCAGAGAAAAAAGGATGAGACAGAAAGAAAAGTGTCCTATCTAATCTAAATACTTCTTCAGTAGATAAAAGTGAGAGATTCAATTAAAATCACACATTCCCATCATTCAAGATATCTATGTTTTTGGTGAGAGATGAAATAATGTTAATGGGCAATTAGCTACCCCAGAGTTTGGACTGTAACTACTAAAACAAAGAGAATAAACAGAGCCTACAGAATTGGAATCTTGAGAACAACTTGTCAATAAGAAGTTGATAAATACAGCAAATGCTCACTTAGCATGGGGCTGAGTGTAATTTTGGGTTGGAAGTGTATTTAATTCTCTAAACTCTACGTGGGTGAACTTACTCAGTTTGTATAATTCTATTTTTAAAATATAGTTTTAAAATATGTTTTTATTCTAAATAAATATTTTTTTACATTTGAAGACCACTGGTGAGCTGATACACAAATATTCTTTACTGTTTTTTCCTTTGGCTTTTAAAATCTTTAAGAAAATCTAATCTGTGGTATCCAGTAAGCTAGTTTAATGCAACACTATTAGCTAAAATGTTAAATAAAATAAAGCAGCTAAAAAAACTGCCCTCTCTCATTATTCTTGCATTATCTTTGTAAGGGACACAAAACCTATTGATATGGTTTGGCTGTGCCCCACCCAAATCTCATCTTGAATTGTAGTCCCCATAATTCCCATTTGTCCTGGGAGGGACCAGTGGGAGGTAATTGAATCATGGGGGTGGTTACACCCATGCTGCTGTTCTCGTGATGGTGAGTGAGTTCCTATGAGATCTGATGGTTTTATAAGGGGCTTTTCACCCTTTTACTCAGAACTGCTTCTTGCTGCCGCCATATGAAGAAGGACGTGTTCGCTTCCCCTTCCTCCATGATTGTAAGTTTCCTGAGACCTCGCCAGCCATGCTGAACTGTGAGTCAATTAAACCTCTTTCCTTTATAAATTACCCAGTCTCGAGTATGTCTTTATTAGCAGTGTGAGAATGGACTAATACACCTGCCATGCCTGTTCCTTACTTACTAAAAAAATTTACTCCCCTTTCTCCATAGAATGCACGCAATTTGACCTTATGCTACACTTCCAGTCTCTACTCCTGCCTCTTTATGCTCTGTCCACATGTGATTTCTCACTATTCTCTACATGGCTTGTGCCCCTATAAGGTTTGTGCCCTTCATTTCCTGTGCCCTCTACCTCTGGTTCCCATGCTCAGAATATCAGTGTCCTTACTGCAGGGGTGTATAAGCTCAGATCTCACCTCCTCCATGAAGCCCCTATAGACACCCAGAGAGGATTAATAATGACCCTCCTCCATGTTTCCATAACACTGCTAGGCTTTCTCCTGAATTTTTGTTTTTAGGCTAATGAATTAGGCTTTAATCTCTTTTAACTCTAAGGTATAATTAGATGTACTATATTCACAGAATCAAGGGAATTTGAGTTGGAAAGGGCCCTAGAGATCAGCTAGAACCACCTCCTCATTTCACCAGAAATAATTGAAATTTTAGGGGACTTGTCCAATTTACTATTTTTGGCTAGTTGTAGGACTCAAACTAGAACTGCTTCCTGGATCTGTGCTTTTTCATTAGAATATGTTGTAGCCATGTGGTAGACAGAAAAATCTGCTCCCCTCCCCTCTTCAGATGTCCATATTCTATTCCATGGAACTTGTGAATATGTTAGGTTACATGGCAAAGAGAGATTAAGGTTGTAGATGATATTAAAGTGGCTAATTAGCTAAATTTAAAATAGGGAGATTTTCCTGGGTTATCTAGGTGGGTCCTGTGTAATCACAAGAGTCCTTTAAATGTTGAAGGGAGAAACAGAAGAGTGTCAGAGCAATATGCTATGGAAAAGTTTGGCTGCCATCACTGGCTTTGAAGATAGAAGGGGCCATGAACCAGGGAATGTGGACCTCTTTTGGAAGATGAAAAAGACAAAAAAAAAAAAAAAAAAAAAAAAAAAGAAAGAAAGAAAGAAAGAAAAAGGATTCTGTCCCAGAGCCTCCAAAAGGTATATAGTCCTGCTAGCATTTTGATTCTAGTCCAGTGAGACACAGATTTCTGACTTCCACAACCATAAGATAATAAATTTATATTGTTTTAAGCTACTGAATTTGTGGTAATTTGTTACCATAACAAGAAATGCATGTACTTAAGTCCAAACAAGGTTAAATTGATAACTCAAAGCTTACTAAAGAGGAATATGATTACTGAGGGGTTTTTTTTAAGGCATATTTTATTTCCACAAACTTTGAGATTTACTCTGAATGTTTTGGGTTCTATTTATTCATTCATCCAATGAATCTCTATTGAATGTGTGACGTTTGCTGTAGTAGACATTATGGTAGTTTAATTTTATGCCTCAGTGTTTTCAGTCTTCCCTGCATCTATCTTCTTACCATGGACTCATTATGGGTGAAGGGTACTTTCTTATGCTTTGACTTTGGACTTGGCCATGTGACTTGTTTTGGCCAATTATATGTGGGCAGAAGTGAGTGTGTCAGTTTTGAGCCAAGCTTAAGAGCCATGCTATTGCTTTAGAGAAGCTTCTCCTTGTCATCTGCTCCCTAGCCTGGATAACACATGGAACACTTGAAACAGAATATCTAGCTGAGCCCCAGACCTGTGAGTAAAGCAAACTTATTGCTCTATGCTAGTAGTGTTACTGAGTTTGTTATACAACCTTATTATGACAGTTCTTGACTGGTACTGTCATGTAAACACATGATCTAAACACACCTGAATAGAAGCATAGGCAGTATCGTAGAGGTATTTCAAGTATAAAGGAGAGTTGTGTCAAAGCACCTGACTCTTGCTGGGAGAATCAAGGAAGTCTTCAGAGATGAAATGACATTTGAGCTGAATCATAAAGGATGAATATGATTTCTTTAGGTCAATAAAGGGTGTGGGTGAGTAGATAGGAAAGGTTATGCGAGGTAAGTAAAATAACTTTAAGCAGATTTAAAGGTAATTTAGTTTCAGCTGAAGGAGCTGGTAAATATGCCCTTTCTTTATTTGGAGTTTGCTTTTTTTGATACTTTTTCTATAGAATGTGAAAAGTAATATTTCCCAAGTAGTTTGTTAAACAGATCTCATGTCTGCTTTCTGAAGTGATAATTACAAGATTATGTCAAAACCTGTTTAAGAGAGTGAGAGTGTGGAAGAAGCAAGAAATAAAGAGGGACTCATTTTAAGAGGTCTCTCATGGTCCAGGTAGATTCTATGCCTCCTTCGTGGGCAGAACCAATTTCCTGTCTCTCTTCTTATGTATAACAGGATGGTAGCAAAATCACGCATCTTTTTCTGAGATGATTTTTAATGCAAAATTGTACTTTCCATCTGAATTGTTCTTGGCTCACTTGGATTGTTAAGTGGTCTTAATTAAGCATGGGAATCAATAACTAAGAAGAATTAAGAGATTGTTGGGAACATCATGACTATCATTTGTAAACTATATCATGAGTGGTGCTTATGAGACCAAAGCCATTGTTTTATTTCCTCAGTGTTTTGGTGTTTTCTGAGGTCTGGGGTATCCTCCTGTACCCTAACCCTAGTTGGCATTTTCCACATGCACACTTTCAGCAACAAGGGAAAGAGGAGACAGTGTAGAATCCTTTCCTTCTAGAGAGAACAGCGACATTTTCCAAATGATCATGGGTCAATAGTATCTTTGTCTAAAAAGATTGATATATGTCATGATTTCAACAGTTTTGGAATTTGTTCAACAAGAGCGGTCTTGGGAATACTTAAGAGCATGTGCACATTGAGATGTGTGTTAACACCTCTCACTATCATATCTGAAATTTCCAATTTTAATTCTTGTGTAATATATTCTTGTTACTTAAAAAATTTCATATTCACATACCCAAATTCTATGCAACCTGCAGGAAAACATGCATACTCTTTCTCTATGGCAAATGGCATGCAATTCTGGCATGAGCAGGGTTAGAAATGTTAATGAAGAGGGATCTGCAAGTGTAACTAATATGATCTCATATTTAAACAATTCACAAATCAATACCATGGTTGGATTTAGATACCAGATGTCAAACCACATAGTAATGCAGATACAGTTGCTTGCCTCCCTGTAGCTGGTCGCCAGAAAGAAACAGATGGTTAAAAAGATATGTAGCCGAGGCAAGGCATGGAAATAGGAAACCACAGAGCAGAAATTCTGCCATTTAAGTAACAGTAATTTTCTAGTCTGAAAAACCTGGCTGTTTTATACCTCCACTTATACACTTAAGCAGTTTAAATGTGAAACATAGCAAAAATAGTCCAAGCAAGGCTGGCAACTTGCAAATTTTGCAATGCATAATTGCATCTCAAAAATCTCGGAGGCAGACGCACAGCAGTAAAAAGTAAACACTTGTATGCAGTTGAACACAATTATGTGGTGGTTATTACCTTAGCTCATTATGGCATCAGAAGGGACTCTGTGAACTTGTGCTCTAACTAGCAGGTCAGGCAAAATGCAAATAAGTACCAAATTTGAAAGCGAGTGACAAAAAACAGATACAATTTAGACTGGGAGTCTATAATTTGGCTTTTAAAAATAATCCTCAGCAAGAATTATCCTCATTACAATAATGGCTTGTTTATTCTGCACAACTTGTTTGCAATTACAGACCCTCTTTCAAAGCTGATTTCAACAAGAAATAAGAGCATACAAAAAAGGGAGAGCTTTGTGGCTGGTCAGTTGTTATAATTAGAGTTGATGCATATATGTGTCATAAAACCATTTACGCCTTTTCTCCAAATCTTTTAATTTCAGATTTCTGTCACTAAAATCTAAAGTCTGAAATAGTCTTTTATTCTAAAGAAATCATTATAATTGAATTTCTAATGAGGGTGTCTATGGAGCTTTGTTCATGGTATTCCTATTATAGAACTGGAGTCCTCTGCATCTATTATGGTCAGGTGACCATGAAATGATGAGCTACAGCTGTTACAGGGCATGTCTCTGCTGGTGCTTAATTCATAGCAAATACACATTTTATTGCTAATGTGCTTCCTCATTCATTTCTTCAAATATTTATTCAAATATTTATGGGGTACCTACAACGAGAAGGCATAGATCATGGTTAAGGATGCCAGACAGCTTGGGCTGGAATCTTGGCCCAGACATTTACTAGTTGTGTGACCTGGGACCTCTGTGCCTCAGTTCCTCCCGTTTTAAAATGAAGACAATTATAACTCCCTTATAGGATTGTTATGAAGATTAAATAAGTTAATATACCTAAAAAACTCAGAAGAATACTTGACACATAGTAATGTGCTGCCTGTTGTTATTTGCTGGGCCTTGGGGGCAGAGTAGTGAACAAGACGGGGTTGATTTCTACCTTCATAGAATTTTTGTTCTGGGAAAGAGGGAAGAAGGCATTCAGCAATGAATCATCCATTTAATTATTAAATTACATTGGAATTAAGAGCAATAGGGAAGGATAAAACTGTGAAGGTATTGTATAAAATGGGAACTTGACCTGTTCTGAGTAGGTTTCTGCCTTCCTGAAAGAAGTGATATTTGAGATCTGAAGGATGGGTAGGAGTTACTTAGAAGAGATATTAGGGAAGTTGCTTTCCCTACAGAAGCCATAGGAGAGATGAAAGGTTTAACGTGGGAAATTCAATTAGAGACCCTGTGGCTGGAAATGACTCAGTCAAACAATTATAAAAATAGTTTAATTATAAATTGAGTTTTCCTGTCATTGATTCTTGTTCTTCCAGTGAGACCCTACCATGCTTTGCAAGCCTTTCACTCATGCAACTCACAGTGAAATCCTGGGCTTTTCATTGATGTAGATGTTTCTGGGTTTTTTTCCTAGCTCATGACAAAATTGGTTTCCACTGCACTTTGTTGTATTCAGAGAAGTCAAATAAAAGTCCCAATTGAAAAATACATGAAAATAGATGTCTAATAAGCCATATATATTATACATATATGTATTTTTATGTATGTATATACAATTTTATGTTAATAAAATTGTAAGTTGCTTTTATACCATATATAGCGTTTTATATTGTGTTTTTTTCTTAAGATTCTTCACAAATTTTTCCTTACGTTTCATGCTATTCTTAGAAAATAAGGTTTTAAGCTATTTTAAAATATAGTGCATGGCTGTTTCTTAATTTATTTACCCATAGAACCTTTAGATTATTCCCAAATTTCCCATTATAAATCATGCTGTAAAAACATCTTTCTAAAACTCTTTGGGCAAATTTCCTTATACTAGATTCTCAGGAGTAGTATTACTATGTCAAGAACAATGAATTTCTGTTTAAGATTCTTTATACACATAGCAAAATTTCTCTACAGAAATACCACATTGAATGTACCAGCAGTAAATGAGATTGCTTATTTCAATACTTTTTCAACAGTATTGAGTATTGATAACTAAAACATAGAATCTTGTTTTAATTTACATTAATACTTGCTCTGTTCATATTTATTTTACTTTCTTTATGAATCCGATCTTTGCCAGTTTATGTACCAGGATGTTAATTTTTTCACACTGATTTTTTAAGAGCTCTTTTTATATTAATGGTAAAAACCCTTTGCCTGTCATATGTATGTTTCAGTTTTTCACTTTTATTTTGACGTTGCTTATATTTTTGGTGTTTGGGACTTTTTAAATTTTTACGTAATTGAAATCCTCCTCACTTGCCTTAGATACTCCCTGTAAATATTCCATGTGAGCCTTGCAGTTCTCTAAAATATTACTGTGAACTTTAGGCTCAAATTTATTTACATAAAATAAATAATGAATTTTTAAAGCAAATAGCTATTGAGTTATTTAGAGAAGTTTCTCAATGAGGAATATTAACAATATTGTAAAGTTATCAAAAAAATAACTTCAACTTCATCCTGTCTTTTCTTTTTTTAAGTTTTATTTTATTTATAATTGACACATAATAATTGTACATATTGTGGGGTACAGTGTGAAGTTTCAATGCATGTATACATTATATGATAATCAAATCAGGGTAATTAGCATCACTTTAAACATTTATCATTTACTTGTGGTGATAACATTCAAAATCCTCTCCTACTCCTTCCCTTCCTTCTGTCCTTCTCAGCCTCTGGTAACCACCATTCTACTCTCTATTTCCATGAGATCAACCTTTTTAGATTCTGCATATGAGTCAGATCGTGTGATGTTTGTGTTTCTATGCCTGGCTTATTTTCTGTGGATGAATGGATAAAGAAAATGTGGAATGTATGTATACAATGTAATACTATCCAGCCATAAAGGAGAATAAAATTCTGTCATTTGCAACAACGTGGATGAATCTGTAGGACATTATGTTAAGCAGTGTTCTTTCTAATACCATTTTCCTCATTATATTTTTGAACAGATGAGCCTGAGACGTGTAGGCATTGTTTACCCTTCCCTGAGTTTATAATGTTTTTCTCAACTGGACCTAAGGTCTTTGATTTTATTAACATAAAGTGGAGTTCATCTTCTGAAAGTCTTTTCATTGGCCATAATGTAAACTTTTATACACACACACACACACACACGCACACACACACACCCCATATGTAGTTATATATATATATGTAGTTTTATATATATAGTTTTATATACAGTTATATATAGTTTTATATATATATATATATATATATATATCTGTGTAATTGTTCAGGATAGGTGAACCACCAAGTAACTGAACCTGACCTGATTATTAATATATAGGAATCTTTCTAATAGATTTAGAATTATTATGTATTTTCATTGCATTGTTGCACTTAAAACAGTTGAAAGCTAAAGTTAATTTCTATGGCTATTTAGATTTTTATTAGAGCCGTACAATCATTTGGTATGCTCTTTAATGTAGTCTTCTTATTAGTGAGGTAAACCTACAATCTTTCTATTTAAGTACTGTGAATTGTTATGCATATAGAATGTAGGTATGTTGAAAACATTGCATGTGTGTATTAGAAGCCAAATTTATGGCTACAAGTTGATCTGTGAAAGTATAATGCTGATTTCAAACATATATGTAAAGCCATAATTAAAATTTTTGTGCTTAATTTTTTTCCGGAGTTTTTAAGTATTTATTCTAATGATGTAAGTGTTTTCATTTATAAAGCTTTGCTTGCAGAATTATCTTCAAACCAGTTTATAAACCATGGAAAAATATCCAAGTCTCAAAAAAAAGGCTTCGAACTTAAGCTGATTTCCTTTTATTTATTATCTTTGATCAAATAATGAAATTTTGACTCCATTAAGGGTAGTCAAATGAATATATTCTAAACTCTGAAGGTATTTGAAGCATCTTGCAACACATACTTGCACCTGCATGCACACATGCACACACATTAGGAAAGTATTGTAAATAGTTAAGGAAACTTTGATGAGTGGAAATAAATGTAAGAAAATAATCCTTTGTATTATCCTACAGAAGTACCCACACTACATGTTTTATGTAGTTGTTGGAGGTAGGTTATAAATTTGTTTCTACTTGTAGTCAGAGGAAAGAAAGAAACAAAATGAATTATAAGATGCACAGTGTTTGTAAGACAAAAACACACCATTGTTCTGGAGAAGCACACTGTTTCTGACACTGAGACCTAAGCAAAAGCTTTTCCCTGATTTTTTTTTTTTAAGAGGACACTAACTATGGCACCTCTTCTACATATAACCACAGGGGCAGACATCATAGTGCAAAAGGTCAGTAGACAAGTTGTTCAAAAATATTAAAAATATCAGAAAATATATATACAATAAAAAGCAAGTAAACTGAAAATGTATTTGAAATAGATGTGACACTCAGAGTTAATAGTTCTCACATATTTCAATGACAAAAAGATGAATCTTTTAATAGAGAAAGAGACAAGGGATATGAACAGGCAATCTCAAAAGAGAAAATACAAATGACTAAAAAAATTAGAAAACTCTGTTATCATTAGAAATAGAAGTGCAAATTGGAACATCAAATGGAAAATGTTTGCATAGTAAATGGGCATAAATTAAAATAATATTCATTTTTGTGAGGATTCAAGAAACTTGCAGTCTCAAGCACTGCTACTGAGTATGTAAATTGATATAACTTTTCTGAAAGGTATTTTGACAATGTATATAAAAAGTCTTAACAGCCCGCTTACTATATGACTTGGTAATTCTTCTACTAGAAATATGGTATCAGGAAATAATCCAAGATACAGACAAATATTTGGTAGCTGCAAAAAGGCTCATGACAATGTTGTTTACACTAAGGAAAATTCAAATGTACTCAACACGCAACAATGAAGGTTTTATTTTAATAAATTATGGTACATCGCATATTATCAGAATAACAATAAAATTATAGATAATATTTCTTGTCAGGACAAGATATACACAATATAATGGTTAGCGAAAAATCAGGTTACTACACAGTATATGAAGTATTATTCTATACCTAACGTATGGACTGAATTGTGTGCCCCCAAAATTCATAAGTTGAATGTCTGAACTTCCCTCCTTTCCCTCTTTTTTCCTGCCTCCCTCCCTCCCTCCCTTCCTCCCTCCTTCCCTTCCTCCCTCCGTCCCTTCCTTCTCTCCTTCTACTTTTATTTCAATAAATTTAGGTGTATAAGTGGTTTTTGGTTACACAGATAAATTGGTGAAGTCTGGGCTTTTAGTGTACCTGTCACCCAATAGTGCACACTGTACATAATAATTAATTTTTAATCCCTTATCCTCCTCCCACCCACTCCCCTTCTGAGTCTCCAGTGTGCGTTATACCATTCTGTATGCCTTTGCATACCCATAGCTTAGCTCCCATTTATAAGAAAGAACATGCAGTATTTGATTTTTCATTCCTGATTTACTTCACTTAGGATAATGGCCTCCAGTTCCATCTGGCTTGCTGCAAAAAACATTATTTTGTTCCTTTTTATGGCTAATATTCCATGGTGTGTATACACACACACACACACACACACACACACATTATTCCATGGTGTGGGTGTGTGTATATGTATATAAAGAAATTGCATATATATGATTTCTTTCATCTGTGTTATATATACACACCACATTTTCTTTATCCACTTACCAGTTGATGGGAACATGGGTTGATTCAATACCTTCACAATTGTGAAATGTGCTGCAATAAATAGATATGTGAGGTTGTAGTTTTGATATAGGTGATTTATTTTCCTTTAAGTCGATACCCAGTAGTGGGATTGCTGGATAGAATGGTAGGTCTGCTTTTCGTTCTTTGAGAAATCTCCACATTGTTTTCCATAGAGGTTGTACTAATTTACATTCCCACCAACAGTGTGTAAGTACTCTGTTTTCACTGCAGTTGTGCCGACATCTATTTTTGTTTTTGCATTTCCTGGATGATTCATGATGTTGAGCATTTTTTCCTATGTTTGTTGGTCATTTGTATATCTTCTTTTGAGAAATGTCTGTTGATGTCCCTTACCCCTTTTTAATAGGATTATTTGGTTTTTTAAATTTCTGATTTGTTTCAGTTCCTTGTAGATTCTGGATATGAGTTCTTTGTCAGACGCATAGTTTGTGAATATTTTGTCCCAGTCTGTAAGTTGTATATTTACTCTGTTGATTATTTCTTTTGCTGTGCAGAAGCTTTTTAGTTTGATTAAGTCCCATTTATTTATCTTTGTTTTTGTTGCATTTGCTTTTGAGGTCTTAGTTATAAATTATTTGCCTAGGTCAATGTCCAAAAGAGTTTTTCCTAGGATTTCTTCTAGAATTTTTAGGCTTCAGGTCCTACATTTGGATATTTAATTCATCTTGAGTTACTTTTTATATAAGGTGAGAGATAGGAATCCAGTTTTATTCTTCTGCATGTGGCTATCAAATTTTTCTAGCACCATTTATTGAATAGGGTGTCCTTTTCCCAGTATATTTTTTGTCTGCTTTATTGAAGGTAAGCTAATTGTAGGTATTTGGCTTTCTTTCTGGGTTCTCTATTCTGTTGCATTGGTCTATGTGTCTACTTTTATAACAGTACCATGCTGTTTTGGTTACTATAGCCTTGTAGTATAATTTGAAGTAAAGTAATGTGATGCCTCTTCATTCGTTCATTTTGCTTAGGATTTCTTTGGCTGTTCAGGTTCTCTTTTGTTTCCACATGGATTTTAGCATGTTTTTTCTAATTCTGGGAGAAATTACATTGGTATTTTGATAGGAATCGCATTGAATCTGTAGATTGCTTTAGGCAGTATGGTCATTTTCCAATACTGATTCTTCTAATCCATGAGTATGGGATATTTTTCCATTTGTTTGTGTCATCTGTGATTTCTTTCATCAGTGTTTTGTAGTTCACCTTGTTAAGATATGCCACCTCCTTAGTAAACTATGTAAAAAGTAAAGTAGAGGTTCTTCTTCAAAGACTTTCCCCCCCATCTAATTAAGAATAAATAGTAACTTCTCTTAGAAGCAAAATTTATTCAAAGACCTGTGCTAACATTCTTGAATGTCTGCTAGCCGTAATAGAGAAATCAATGTACTTTATGTTCTTAGCGCCCACAATTTAGCCTAAATATTTGCCCTGGCATGCTTATACTAGTCCAAATAAGCATTAGGTCATATCCTGTGCCTCTTCCTTATTTGAAGGTGTTTTTACCTTTCTCAGCATTCCACAAGTTACTTCCTCCTTCCTTTGTTCTCCTCTGCCTTTGCCTCTTTTAAAAAGTTCTAAGTTGCTAGCCAGTCAAGACAAATACAGAATGTGAAGTCCTGTTCCAACCAAGGGAAATCGGACACAGCAATAAGGTAGATGCGTCAAGTTATAAATGACCCTCTTTTCTTTTTTTAGTGTACTCTCGTAGCAAAACTGCTAGCAAGTGTACCCTTTCTGCAGAAAGTAAAAATAGCCTTGCTGAAAAAATTAAATTTACGTTCAAGTGCTATTTCTTTACAGCATCAAAGAACAAGAATTTCAAACAGCTATATTCCTGGGTATTTTGGTTTTTTTGTAGCTATTATAAATGGAATTAAGTTCTTAATTTGATCTCAGCTTGGTCATTATTGGTGTATAGTAGTGCTACTGATTTGTATACATTGATTTTGTAACCTGAGTCTTTACCGAATTCATTTATCAAGTCTGGGAGTTTTTTGGAGGAGTCTTTAGGATTTTTGAGATATGAGATTGTATCATCACCAAATAGACATAGTTTGACTCTCTTTTCTAATTTGGATGCCATTTATTCCTTGCTCTTGCCTGATTGCTCTGGCTAGGACTTTCAGTACTATGTTGAATAGAAGTGGTGAAAGTGGGCAGCGGATATTTGCATTGTTTTTTAATCCATTCCAGAAGGTCTAATCTTTACTATAACTGTGTTTGGTGATAGGGCCTTTAAGGAGGTAATTAAGGTTGAATGAGGTTAAAAAAAAAAAAAAAAAAAAAGGAGAGTTCTAATCCCTTAGGATTGTTGTGCTTTGGAAGAAGAGGAAGAAACACAGAGCTTTCTTTCAATTGCATGCACACAAGAGGCCCCATGCAAGCACACAGCAAGAAGTCAACATCTTCAGGCCAGGAAGAGAGGCTTCACAAGAAACCAAGCCTGCTGGCATGGTAATCTTGGACTTCTAGTCTTCAGAGTTATGAGAAAATAAATTTCTGTTGTTTAAGTGAAATTTTGTTGTGGCAGCCTGAGCAGACTAATACACCTAACATGCTCTTTAATATGTTAGCATACTAAACTGATCAAGAAAGTTACACTTCAAAGGGTTATCATTAGTGACCACTGGATGTTGGGGATTATGAGTGCTTTTATCATTCATTTTTCCTACTCTCTTCTAATTTTTCTTCAATGACATATTGTTTTATAAAGAAAAAGAACATTGTTCTTCATTTAAAAAAACAAAAAAGTAGGACTGTCTTCTATGGGGTGGATGATATCTTCAACATCTTCTCTATATTATGTATTTTATATGCCAGTTGTAATATGATCCTCAGTGTAGGTGGGTATCAAACATTGAAGGATAATTCCTTTTAAAGCAATTGTACAAAGATCAAATTATGATATGTAAGCATGGCATATTAATAAAGTTGAAACAGAATATTTACAGAAATAAAATAACTACCTGACTTCCAGACAGTCTTTAAGTACATTTTCGCAAAATTTGACTTTCAATAGGAATTGGACAGGAGGAACAGAATGTTGCGAGAATCAAGGGCTCTAACTTTGGAATAAGGTGGCCTGGTTTTTTCCTCACTTGGCCTCTCCCTAGCTAAATCATTTCCAGAAAGGCATTTAAACTCTATAAGCCTCAGTGTTCTAATCTGAAAAATAATACAATAATATTAACACTCTTAACAAGTGTTTTATTAATAATTAAATGTGATAATACTTAATGAGAACCTACCATAAGACTTAGCTGCTAGGGTGCAACATAGTTATAAAGTACCACGCTTATTTGAAAGTTCAAGGTTATACTTTCTATAAAGGACTTCCAATACAGATATTTTGCATTTCTGACTGAAATAGATATACATGCTTTTCATTTCTATTGGACAAAGGGTGGGCTTTTAGCCCACATATGAAAGAAAAGCCTCTAAGCTAAATTTATTCTTGCATAGATGATTACTGTGCATCTATAAAAGGAGAGATTAAGTCCAGGAAGTAGTTCTACATTTTTTTCCAAACTCAGTTTTGTTCCTAACCTAATATTTATTGCTTACAATTTAATATTTTATATTTAAAGTAATAGTCACATTTGTATAGCATTATACATATTTCATGTATGAATATTTTGGCTAAATAGGATAATACCTCTTCATAGAAATTTAGATTATAAGCTTTAAAAAAATGAAGGAATTCCAGCTAAAACTAATAATTTGGATTTGGTTCAAGAAAATAAAAATAAATAAATTAAAATAAATTCCCCCAAATCTGGAGATTAGTAGATTGAAAGTGATCTCAAAAAATTATATAACTGCCAAAAAAAAAAAAAAAAAAAAAACCCCAAAAAACCAAAACTGCCCTTTGCTTCTGGAACAAAATTTTCAGGCTTGCATAATTTTTTTCTAATAATAATGTATTTTATATAGTTGCAGGGATTATGTACTAAACTTACTGTCTTAACTGCCTGAAATTTGTAAATGGACAGGCTGGTGAGAAGTTCGTGGGCTGAACAATTTTTGAAATGTCGGCTGAATTGCATCTTTTCCTGAAATACATTTCACAAGTCTTAACAGCACCAAGTGGCCTAAATGAGTTAGGATCACTCCTCAAGCCCTTAAATTAATATCAGGAAGCAATTTAGACACTGAGGAGAATTAAGCTCAATGTGTTAGTGAGATGAATAATTGAAGCATTTGAAGTGGGTGATAGATCTTACTAAGTGATTACTTCCTTATAAATTCCTAAACAAGAAGTCTTCATTGAGAAATGGTTTGGGATTGCTGCCATTTGTCACTTGGCCTATGAATGCTTAATCACCTGCGTTTTCAGGCCATTAAAGGCTATTCAGTGTATTGTGGTGGCCCAAAAAAGTTAATACATCCACTGAACACCCAACCCAACTCCCCAGAGGGACCATTGCAAATGCTGGGAAAGTATTCAGCTTACTGTTGTCACTCTGAGTAAGTAAGCCACTATTGTCCTGATAAATTTTAATAAAAGTTAATATATAAGTAGGAAAAAAAGGATTTTTTTTTACTATTTTAATGCTTATTTAAGTTGCACACTTGTAGTTATTTTAAAATTTGAGTTAAAAATTACATCAGATTCATTGTAACTGAACCCTCAATAACCCAGTTTAGATTACATTGGTCAGGGCTGGGCGTCGTGGCTCGCATGTATAATCCCAATACTTTCAGAGATGGAGGTGGGCAAATTGCTTGAGGCCAGGAGTTGGAGACAAGCCTGGCAAACACGGCAAAACCTCATCTCTACTGCAAATACAAAAATTAGCCAGGCGTGGTGGCGCACACCTGTAATTCCAGCTATTTGGTAGGCTGAGGTAAGAGAATCGCTTGAACCTGGAAGGGGGACATTGCAGTGAGCTGAGATCACGCTGCTGCACTCCAGACTGGGTGACAGAACAAGACTTGTTCTGAAAAAAAATACACTGGTTAAATTTGTTATGCATGTGTCTAATTGAAGAGACAACCTGAACAGGCTAAGTGTGAGCAACAAGGCTGTTGATTCACTCGGGTGCGAGTGGGCTGAGTCTGAAAAGGGAGTCAGTGGAGGGTGGCGGGATTGGAGCTAGTTTTACAGGTTAGGGCTAAGCAGTGGAAAGTTACAGTTAGGGGACGTTTATTGCGGGCGGGGAAGAATGTCACAAGGTACATTATCACAAGGTGGGAGGGGTCACAGGGCACAGTGTCACGAGGTTGATCAGTTAGGGTAGAGCATGTTACAAGGGTAGAATGTTGCAAGGCTGGCTAATCAGCTAAGACAGGAACTAGCTGTTTTTTCTTCCTTTGTGGTTTTCCTGTTGTCCCAGACTTTCTGGCTCCAGGAGACCTTCTGGATGTGTACGTGTGGATCACAGGGATCATAATGGCTTCACCACGGCATAGCCTGTTCAGAGGACCTTACAAAATTGTGCATCATGAAATTTATCAACTACTTATAGTAAAGGAATGACAAAAATAAATTTAAAAGGAGGGGTTAGCTTCCACCACCTAGACTACTATCATATGCTTTTATATTCCTATATGCACAGCATATGCTTCTATATATGTTAGACATCTTAATATACCCTGGGTTAGCGGCAGCGTAAGATGGTGTTTAAGAAGAAAGGCTCTGCAAGACTCCGTCTCAAAAAAAGAAAAATAAAAAAAAGAAGAAGAAAGGCTCTGGAGGCAGATATACTGCAGCCAGATCCCGGCCCAATAGGTCAGTTATTTAGTTTCTCTAAACCCCGCTTTCTTTATCTGTAAAATGGCGAGAGTGATGGTAATAACTGCATAGGGGCAGGTGAGGATTAAACGACAAAGTGGATGCCTGGGTCTTTTGTGCAGTGACTTGCAGATAGTAGTCATTATACACATTTGTCTATTATGGAATCCTGTCATCTTTTTGTTTGCTCAAACTATACAGTGCTTTTTTTTGCCCAGTAATCTACTCAACCATCATAATTCAGCATTAAGTATTTATTATGTTTCTTTAAACCTTTTGATTACATTAGTTGTGAGTCCAGAACCAGCTTAAGTGACTGGCTGAGCTTGTGTAAAACATGAGACTGAGGGAAAAGAGGTAGTTTTATATGCATGCAATATAAAACGCTAGATATTTTCTTAAGCTACATGAGCATGTTCTAATAAAGGCAGGCAGCAGATGAGAAGAATTTATAATAGCTACATTCCATATATTCTTGTTTCTGCTTCATAATTTGTCTTCGGTGAGTATGTAATTTTTTTTCACAGTAGTTATTCCCAGCTGCATATGTGTGCTGCAGAAAGAAAGAGCATATGGAATATATACCGTGTATATATACATATAGAGATATTCTGGCACTGGGCATGTGGATTCACATGCATATACATGCACACACTCGTACTATCAGTCTATGTATGTCTATATGTAGAGAGAGACAAATATATGTATAGATATACATTCCTTCTGCTCTTTTCATTGTGTTATGCATGTCAGAGGCAGTGAGAGTTCTGTTCTCCTCCCTATTCCCCACCCCCCACAAGCTGGAGGGCCAGAAGGTGGGGCGGTACCTCAGGATAATGGCAGCAGAAGGCAAAGGGAGCAGACAGCTGGCAAGCTCTGTCCCAATATGCTTCCCTGAAAGAGGCGAGGAAATTTCAGAAGATGCAATGCCTGAATGGCTCACTTTGCAGGAAAACAGAAGAACCAAGGTAAATTCCTTAGAATGTCATCCATTTTAATGGGTCTAGAATTGACCATCTTCTTATCACCATTTGGTAAACTTCCCCAAAGTTGTGAGTTTATAAACATCTCATCTTGGAAGATAGTCTAGAAAGAAATGTCAACTTTTCTGACTCATGAGAGCTCTTCTCATAAGCTTAAAAAGACTCTGCCAATGCCAGGTGTCTCCTGGAATTTTCTAGAACAAAAATATACAGTGAAACCTCTGCTATGTTAAACACTGGGAGCATAAGAAATTCTGTATAGCAGATGCCCTGTCATAAGCAATACAACTTAACTGTTTTGAATGAAACATTTTCAAAAGACATTTTACATGCCTCCTTGCCATTTTAAACAGGTTATTCTAATTTCACACTTTCCTGATGACTTAGGGTCAACATTATGAACAATAATTTTTATTAGTCAAACATAGTACTCTTTGAAATGCTCCATTAAAATATATAGGACTATTTCCCCTGTTATTAAAGTTTTTCTTTTCATTTTACTCTGGGCCATTATTTCTCCCAAGGTCTGTTTTGATACTTTTAAATCAGTTGTCGGCTTGAATTACGTAGCCTAGTTTGTTGGGATGTTATAAAAGTAGGAAATAATTGCTAAGTGAGCACTCAAGGCTTCCTTTCTTGCAAAGGCCTTGTCATGTACATGGCCTTTGCAAAACCTTGCAAAGGTTTTGCTTGTTTGTTTGCTTCCTGGGTTGTCAGAGATGAGGTTAATGAAAGGCTGAATCTTCCTTGAACACAGTAGTCTGTTCCTATCCACGGTTTCACTTTACATGGTTTCAGTTACCCATGCTCAACTGTAGTCCAAAAATACTAAAATATTTTGAGAGGAAAGAGAGAATTCATAGTCACGTAACTTATAATCCAATATATTGTTATCATTGTTCTATTTTATTATTAGTTATTGTTGTTAATCTCTTACTGTGCCTAGTTTATAAGTTCAACTTTATTATAGGTATATATATATATATAAAGACAGTATATAAAGGGTTCAGTACTCTTCACAGTTTCAGGCATGCACTAGTGGTCTTGGAACATATCCCCCAAGGATAAAGAAGGACTACTGTATTATAATTGTATAGTGTCATTTTGTCCATAAAGCTTTATCTTATCTCCACAATTAGATTGTAAACTCCTTGGAACAGTGATCATATTATATACCATTTTCTTTATTCTTTATAACACCAAATACAGTACTCTACTTGTAAACTAGACACTTACTTACTTTTACATTGATTCCAAGGTATAAAAAATTTTATACTGGTTCATTATTATCACAATGAAAGAGCAATGTTTTGGGTGGGGCTATCAAGCTAACAAATTAACTTCAGCAACTGCCAAAAGCACAGGATGACAACTGTATTCATGGGACAGATAGTAGTATTAATGAACAAAGAGCTTCAGGGGTTCAGTTATTTTGCTACATGCTGAAATATTAATATGTACAGGCAGGCAAGTACATGTGGATCAGAAATGTAAGCAGTAAAAGTGATCAGTTGATGTGATATGTAGTTGATTTTTTTTTTCTTTAGGGATTCTGATAATCAGAGCCATGGTTTGAGGATATGTGGTCTGTCATTTCAAAACTTTATAAATTCAGATTTGGAAAAACTCCTTTTCCTAAAATTAATATTTGAAATTTTATCAGCATAAACTATCCCATTTATGCATAATATGGTAAGAATAGGAAGCTTTTGTTTTACATTTTATATGACTCATATAAAATGAACTTCTTATGATTAAAATATAGTTAAACTCTTATTTATTTGTGTGTTTCAATTTAGTTGATTATCTTATAGTTTATATGCCAGAATATCATATGGGAGAAGACATCATTTATCTGCTTATGTTTCTAAACAAAATCCAGCTATTTATTTTCTTTTTCAAGCTGGTTCTAAACTAGATGAGGGTCAAGTACATGGAATCCCTTATGTCCTTTACTTCTCCACTTGTTTTGGTTATGCTTAGAACTAGCTCTATTCATTATAATTGCTCACCTTCACAGAAATACTGATGACATCATTTTAGAAACACAAGTCATTGATGTTTCCACTTATTTATGGAGTGCCCAATTTGTAGCACATGCAGATAGGCCCTTAATAAATACTGATATCCTGGGGCTGGCTAGTACTGTTTCTTACTATCTGACTCTTATATTTTCAGGAATTTTGCATTCTGGTTGGTAAATCATTGGTAGCTTTAAATTAACCATAGTGGGATTATTTACACCACCACAACACAGGAATTGACAAATGTTCCAAATGCCCCTCTATGAGCCAGTTGCTGATCATGAGTATTTTTTATGGTGATGACTTGCAAAAGAACTGCTTGATTTCCAATACACATTGTGGTACAAGAACATATAAAATAGAAATACTCCTCTACTACTGGAAGGAAGTAGTAAGGACTCTTGATTTTGATAACAGAAATGTTAATGCAATGGAGACCAATATGACAGAATTTAGTTGGATCTTTCACAAGTACTTGATATATATGTATGCTATTGGTTGAATGAACCACCCCCTGGCCCTGCAAAAGGATGTAGTAGAAACTTATTCCCCAATGCAACAGTGTTGGGAGGTGGGGCCTAATAAGAGGTGATTAGGCCATATGTGGTCCCCCCTCATGACTAGATTAATGCCATTAGTGTGGGAGTGGGTTTATTATAAAAGGCCAAGTTCAGGATCGGGCTCCGTGGCTCACGCCTGTAATACCAGCACTTTGGGAGGCCGAGGTGGGCAGATCACAAGGTCAGGAGATCGAGACCATCCTGGCTAACACAGTGAAACCCTGTCTATACTAAAAATACAAAAAATTAGCTGGGCATGGTGGCGGGCACCTGTAGTCTCAGCTACTTGGGAGGCTGAGGCAGGAGAATGGCATGAACCAGGAGGCAGAGCTTGCAGTGAGCCGAGATGGCGCCACTGCACTGCAGTCTGGGCAACAGAGCAAGACTCCATCTAAAAAAAAATAAAAATAAAAATAAAAGTCCAACTTCAGTCCTGTCTTATTTCTCACCCTCTCTTGCATTTCTGCCTTCCACCAGGGAATGACACAGCAAGAAGGCCCTTGCCAGATGCCACCCCCTCAATCTTAGACTTCCTACTCTCCAGTACAGTGAGCCAAATAAATGTCTGTTCGTTATAAATTGCCCAGTCTATCATATTCTCTTATAGCAGCACCAACAGACTAAGAGAGTGTATTTATTTCCTTTTGCTGATCATGAATTTCTCATATTGTTCATCAAAGTCAGTGATAATTTTCTTCTAAAAATTATTTTTTAAGTGATACTAATGGTTAATTGTATAGTACCTGCTCTTTTCTAAATATTGTTCTTACCAATTTACACATATTTACTTAGTCAATAGTCCTACTAAATAAGGATTAATATGCCTTGTATTACAGATCTAGAAACTGAGGCACAGAGACATTGAGTGACTTGTTTATGTTTGCAGGGTAGTTCTCTGGGTAGTCTTGGGCCAACCAGTTCCCTCCCTTTCCTTACTGGAAGTTCTCAAGAATAACTGTAAAATATGCTGGGAATGCAAAATCCTGAGAAAAGAGTAGACTGGCCAGAACAGCCAAGGCTCTATTCCAGTCCCCCCTAAAAAGAAGATGTCCCTGAATGCTTCATCCCAGCAAATCATGTTATCCTGGAGTGTAAAACCCAGGTTGGGCTGCTTTCTGGGTTTCCTCAGCTGTGGTACAAGTGGACCATGAAAAAGTAAGACTCTATCCACCCCAGGTAGTTTTCCTGAGCCTTCAGGTATTGATTCACAATTGTCGCTTTCTGCCTGCTGCATGTAACCTGTCATCTATGTGAGTATTCTGTCTTACTGGATTTAGGCAAGTCAGTAACCAGTAAACAGCAAATCTGCTTCAAAATGCTCATGTAGCTAGCATGACTTGGACTTGAATACAGGTAGTCCAAGTAGTCAAGAACTATAAAATGAGGATAATAGTAGTTCTTATCTCATAGAATTATTGAGTGAGGATTAAATAAATGAATACATACAAATTAGAAAAATACCTGGCAAAGAATGAGTATTATACACCTTATCTCTAAGTATTATTTTTAGAATGTATTTTTAGAAGAATTATATTATTAACTATTATTGACTTTGGTAAACCATAACTATTACAGATTCATAATCATCAAAAGAAAATAAATACACATGTATTTCATTCTCTTAAGTACTCTGTTCTATTCTTTATAATCATTTATAAGCACAAATAATTTTATTTTAAAAATATTATCTCAATTATGTTTACTCTTTATCTCAATTATTTTACTTTTTAAGCTGTATCTAGTCCTTTGGGGAGCAAGGTAGGAGATAAGTGAACAAAAAATTGTGTACTGTAGAAAAGTTGGGAACTATGAGTAATAATGAAGAAAATAAAACCATCCAGAGTCCCATTTTCTAGAATATCTGTTAATATTATTATAGTTTATTTATTTGCACATTTTTCCTGAGCTTGCTTTTGTATGTTTGAGATCATAGTATATCTCCTTTACTCATTTAATATTATACTATAAGCCTGTGACCCAGAACATCTCTTACATTATTTTTAAAAGTCAATACATTTTGAAAGATTTCTTTTTGGTGGGTAGAGTCAAAGTTTATTTTTTAATTAAGACTATCAATTAGCAAAACTCTCTTCTTTAATAAATTCATCAAATGACTGAAATGGTATTATATACACTTGATATTTGTAGAGGAGGGCTGAGTGACATTTTTGGATGTCTTAGGCTGAATTTCCCAAAAAGTATCTTAAATAATATTATATTTTCTAGATTTATTCTTTGAAATGACATCACTAATCATTTAAAAGAATAGTCTATTATATTGACAGCAAATAAAAAGAAAATCTATGTTCACTGTCACTAGTTTGTTGACCACCTCTTGTGTTTCTTACCAGAACTTGACTTCATGAGCTTCCTATTCACCTAAGGAGTGGTGGATGGCTGGTAAAATTGAGTATATGCCCAAGCCAGTATTGATGGAATAAAAATGGCTTCAATACAAGGCCTCTATTAACATGTATTCTGTTTTCCTCACAAATTTATGGAATTTTTCCACCAAACATATGCATATCTGAAATTCAAATTGAGTGCACCTTACCTCATGCTCTCCTCCGTACCTCTAATGAGGTGGAAAAATGTACATTAATGACAGAAAGTTATTTAGTGCTGAACAGAGTTAATTGCTTCTAATCACTGCTTACATCCATGTGGTTTTATGGTAGACAACAAACCTCTTCATTGGGTTTGCTCATTAGACATATTGTAAATCACAGAGATGCACTGGCATCTTGCATATTGTGCTTCTATTAGTGAGGCAGCATTTTCATATAGCCCCAGTGGCAGGCTTTGGGATGCAGATCAACTTGTCTGTGTTCTGTTAGAACTGCAGGGAGTCCTGGTGAACTGGCCTCCTAGGCTCATTTGGAAGGCAATGGAAAGCTACTACCTATCAAACTCTAGATGAAAAGCTGTGAAAGAGCTGCCAGAGACTGGGATAGCAGATACCTTTGCCATGATTTTAGGTGGTAATATTGGTGACTATCTCATTTTCCCCCAAAAGCTTGGGGTTAAAACTTCCTTCTACTACTATTATTTGGCAGAGTAAATAGAAAAAGGATTGTATGAACAAAAAATCAAGGTTTAAAACAGAGGTAGATGCAATCTTTAATCTTGTGTCTAACACTAATAGCTTCTTAAATTGTAAAGAGTCAAGCAATGTTTTATCAGAATTTTGGGAAGATCAAAGGAAAAATATAAGCACATGAATTATTATAGTGAATAGCTTTATCATACCAAAATTACACTTGAGCTAAACTAATTAAGATGCTGTGGTGTAACTGTGCCATTAGCTGATATCAGTTGATGATAAAAGATTTAGAAAATTCATATGGGAAGTAAGACCTGCAAATTTTGTGACAATGTAGAACATTTGACAGGATATTATAATTACCATAATATCTTACATTGTAGGTAATTTTATCAGTTAAACAAGAAATAATCCCTAAATCTTAAAAGAGAGAAGAGGAAGAAACAAAGGGAGGGAAGGAAGAGAGAAGGAAGGAAGAAATAATACATGTGTAGAAGTGTCTGATATTACTTTTCCTTTTTTGGTGCTTGCCTAATTCCTTCCCATTAAGGTAAATGACTTTAGAGGGAGGTAACTAAGTCATGAAGGGTGCAGAATTTAAAACTGAATAGTAACCTAGGGATTATCTGGTAATATATACTCTCCTCATTTCATAAATGACATAACTGAGGCCCAGAAAGATTGAGTTGTCAAAGATAGGTCAAACAGTTACTTTCATGGCAGCAGTGGGGTAAGAGAATACAGATCAGTATCATGTGTCCTCACTCAGCTAGACATCCATTAATTTGTAATCAAAATTAACAATATAACTTAAACATGTATGTAATGTGCTCCCCACCTTCATATTCCCCATTTTTGTACTTTATTTAGGAAAGAAGGAAGTGACAAATAAGTTAGTTTTTTTTTTTTGGTTGGAAAAACAATTTAGACAACATAGTCTATGGTGACTATATATTTAGCTGTATTTTTACATATACAACTCCATAAAATACTAAAAAGCTTTCTGAGTCATTAAAGGTTTGTGAATTTTGAAGTACATTTAGGTCTAATTTAAAACCTAATAAAACCAAGAGTTATTAAAATTGATAACTCACATCTGTCATATATGATAACTATTAGTCCAAATACTTTATTACCTATCAGGAGTATAAAAGTGAAATTTCACCATAGTTCAATTTTTTGGAGTAATTATCCCAACCTCAATTCCGCTATTTTTTAATATTTTAATGTCTAGATTGAAATGGATTTCTATGTCTTCTTTGCTTCTTCTGTTACCTTTACAATTGAGGTGTAATTGAATAAAATCAACCTGATTTCAAATTACTTTGGAAAGATTTTCAACATAGCTACAATCTTGGTCTCAGGATTTTGCTTAGATTCTTTAAGGATCAAGAGATGTATATGCTGAATTCAATTCATATCAATGGTCTTCTTTTAATTCTGTACTACCATGCAAAATTTTTGCACTTTAGCAAAATATTCAGAGATGTTCACTTTTATTACACCTTTTTTGTTGAAAAATATTCACAGTATATACATATATAATACATGATATATAACATATATACACATGTAAATATAGAATTAAATCATTAAGAAACATATTTATAAATGGGTTATGCCCTTTTACTTTTTTAAGTCCCTACAATATTTTCTTTATAATCTGATTTGATTTGACTTTAAATTGAAACAAGATTTTAAAAACTGTTTTGGAAGTGTTTTTTCTCTCCTTCCACATCTTTAGCATTCAATATGAGTGGAAGGCCAATATGAGCTTGGTCGATTGGATGAGGGTTAAATGAAGAGTAGTCATTATTTCCATTGCTTTAATTATGCCATCCTCACCATGATGGACCTTGCTCCATTTCCCTCCAGTAGACCTGACAGACTATAACTGACCTAATTGATACCAGATGACAGCTCAAATAAGGCCTAATAAAGAAGTAATCACACTGATCTAATGAGCAAGCTGTTATGATATTGGCTTATAGAAAGCTGTTTTTTAATCCCTCCATTTTTCTTTTATTATCCGTAACCACTATTCTCAATCTCCTTTTCTGTGATTCTAGAATCGAAGGACTAAAATGGACCTTAGGGGAAACATAAGCTTGATTTCCTGTTATTTGTGCTATATGATATGCATTGACATTTTTTTCAACTCTTAAATATAGAAATGCCAAACAAACTGAAAAGTTGAAAGACTAATACAATGATCACATATATACCTCCATTTCACATTCAGTCATTATAAATATTTTGCTATATTACTTTGTATTTATATGTATATATACATTTTTTCTGAACCATTTGGAAGTAAGTCACATGTATCACAACACTTCATCCCTGAATGAATATTTTCAACATATATTCCTTTAAAATAAACCATTCTCCTACATAAGCATAATAGTAGCAGCAAATTAACGATAATATCTGGTCTATGTTCAAGTTTCTCCAACTGTCCCCAAATATCAAACCATATCCAACCAATATTTCATTAGTTTTTGAGCCTTGCTTTGCTTTCTAACATAATAAACTATTTTGAGCTCACCTTGTACTTTCTTGTCCTATGTGCGAAGTCAGCCATTGTCCCAAGAAGCCTAGGAGTAAGATCTGGGCTAGCATGCTCACTGCTACAAGACTGTCATTACTTCTGTGACTTTTTTTGAGACGGAGTCTCATTCTATCACCCAGACTGGAATGCAGTGGCACGATCTCGGCTCACTGTAACCTCCGCTTCCTGGGTTCAAGTGATTCTCCTGCCTCAGCCTCCCTAGTAGCCAAGATTACAGGCAGGCGCCACTACGCCCGGCTAATTTTTGTATTTTTAGTAGAGACGGCGTTTCGCCATATTGGCCAGGCTGATCTGGAGGTCCTGACCCCAAGTGATCCACCCGCCTTGGCCTCCCAAAGTGCTGGGATTACAGACATGAGCCACTGTGCTGGGCTTTCTGTGACTTTTCAATGGAATAGGTTTGTGTGCGTGTGTGTGTCTGTGTGTGTGTGTGTGTGTGTGTGTGTGTGTGTTGAATTTCTATGAATAGTTACATTTCAAATGTAATATAGGATTTTCTTAACTTTTAAGATATATATAAATAATATATGTGATTATATATAATCTTTATGCTGAATGTCTGAAAGTCTTGGTACCTAATAGTATTAATTTGTTTAATTGCATTTTTCTATAATACGCATAAAATATTTTCTAAATTACAACACCAATATTGTATCTAAATCAAGTTTAAGATTTCTCTACTTCTGAGGGCTCTGTTCTGTTCCACTGATCAATATCTCTGTTTTGGTACCAGTACCATGCTGTTTTGGTTACTGTAGCCTTGCAGTATAGTTTGAAGTCAGGTAGTGTGATGCCTCCAGCTTTGTTCTTTTGGCGTAGGATTGACTTGGCGATGTGGGCTCTTTTTTGGTTCCATATGAAATTTAAAGTAGTTTTTTCCAATTCTGTGAAGAAAGTCATTGGTAGCTTGATGGGGATGGCATTGAATCTGTAAATTACCTTGGGCAGTATGGCCATTTTCACGATATTGATTCTTCCTACCCATGAGCATGGAATGTTCTTCCATTTGTTTGTATCCTCTTTTATTTCCTTGAGCAGTGGTTTGTAGTTCTCCTTGAAGAGGTCCTTCACATCCCTTGTAAGTTGGATTCCTGGGTATTTTATTCTCTTTGAAGCAATTGTGAATGGGAGTTCACTCATGATGTGGCTCTCTGTTTGTCTGTTGTTAGTGTATAAGAATGCTTGTGATTTTTGTACATTGATTTTGTATCCTGAGACTTTGCTGAAGTTGCTTATCAGCTTAAGGAGATTTGGGGCTGAGACAGTGGGGTTTTCTAGATATACAATCATGTCATCTGCAAACAGGGACAATTTGACTTCCTCTTTTCCTAATTGAATACCCTTTATTTCCTTCTCCTGCCTAATTGCCCTGGCCAGAACTTCCAACACTATGTTGAATAGGAGTGGTGAGAGAGGGCATCCCTGTCTTGTGCCAGTTTTCAAAGGGAATGCTTCCAGTTTTTGCCCATTCAGTATGATATTGGCTGTGGGTTTGTCATAGATAGCTCTTATTATTTTGAAATACGTCCCATCGATACCTAATTTATTGAGAGTTTTTAGCATGAAGGGTTGTTGAATTTTGTCAAAGGCTTTTTCTGCATCTATTGAGATAATCATGTGGTTTTTGTCTTTGGCTCTGTTTATATGCTGGATTACATTTGTTGATTTGCGAATATTGAACCAGCCTTGCATCCCAGGGATGAAGCCCACTTGATCATAGTGGATAAGCTTTTTGATGTGCTGCTGGATTCGTTTTGCCAGTATTTTATTGAGGATTTTTGCATCAATGTTCATCAAGGATATTGGTCTAAAATTCTCTTTTTTTGTTGTGTCTCTGCCTGGCTTTGGTATCAGAATGATGCTGGCCTCATAAAATGAGTTAGGGAGGATTCCCTCTTTTTCTATTGATTGGAATAGTTTCAGAAGGAATGGTACCAGTTCCTCCTTGTACCTCTGGTAGAATTTGGCTGTGAATCCATCTGGTCCTGGACTCTTTTTGGTTGGTAAGCTATTGATTATTGCCACAATTTCAGCTCCTGTTATTGGTCTATTCAGAGATTCAACTTCTTCCTGGTTTAGTCTTGGGAGAGTGTATGTGTCCAGGAATGTATCCATTTCTTCTAGATTTTCTAGTTTATTTGCGTAGAGGTGTTTGTAGTATTCTCTGATGGTAGTTTGTATTTCTGTGGGATCGGTGGTGACATCCCCTTTATCATTTTTTATTGCATCTATTTGATTCTTCTCTCTTTTTTTCTTTATTAGTCTTGCTAGCGGTCTATCAATTTTGTTGATCCTTTCAAAAAACCTCAGAAATAACGCCACATATCTACAACTATCTGATCTTTGACAAACCTGAGAAAAACAAGCAATGGGGAAAGGATTCTCTATTTAATAAATGGTGCTGGGAAAACTGGCTAGCCATATGTAGAAAGCTGAAACTGGATCCCTTCCTTACACCTTATACAAAAATCAATTCAAGATGGATTAAAGACTTAAACGTTAGACCTAAAACCATAAAAACCCTAGAAGAACACCTAGGCATTACCATTCAGGACATAGGCATGGGCAAGGACTTCATGTCTAAAACACCAAAAGCAATGGCAACAAAAGCCAAAATTGACAAATGGGATCTAATTAAACTAAAGAGCTTCTGCACAGCAAAAGAAACTACCATCAGAGTGAACAGGCAACCTACAAAATGGGAGAAAATTTTCACAACCTACTCATCTGACAAAGGGCTAATATACAGAATCTACAATGAACTCAAACAAATTTACAAGAAAAAAACAAACAACCCCATCAAAAAGTGGGTGAAGGATATGAACAGACACTTCTCAAAAGAAGACATCTATGCAGCCAAAAGACACATGAAAAAATGCTCATCATCACTGGCCATCAGAGAAATGCAAATCAAAACCACAATGAGATACCATCTCACACCAGTTAGAATGGCAATCATTAAAAAGTCAGGAAACAACAGGTGCTGGAGAGGATGTGGAGAAATAGGAACACTTTTACACTGTTGGTGGGACTGTAAACTAGTTCAACCATTGTGGAAGTCAGTGTGGCGATTCCTCAGGGATCTAGAACTGGAAATACCATTTGACCCAGCCATCCCTTTACTGGGTATATACCCAAAGGACTATAAATCATGCTGCTATAAAGACTCATGCACACGTATGTTTATTGCGGCATTATTCACAATAGCAAAGACTTGGAACCAACCCAAATGTCCAACAATGATAGACTGGATTAAGAAAATGTGGCACATATACACCATGGAATACTATGCAGCCATAAAAAATGATGAGTTCATGTCCTTTGTAGGGACATGGATGAAATTGGAAATCATCATTCTCAGTGAACTATCACAAGAACAAAAAACCAAACACCGCATATTCTCACTCATAGGTGGGAATTGAACAATGAGATCACATGGACACAGGAAGGGGAATATCACACTCTGGGGACTGTTGTGGGGTGGGGGGAGGGGGGAGGGATAGCACCAGGAGATATACCTAATGCTAGATGACGAGTTAGTGGGTTCAGCGCACCAGCATGGCACATGTATACATATGTAACTAACCTGCACAATGTGCACATGTACCCTAAAACTTAAAGTATAATTAAAAAAAAAAAAAAAGATTTCTCTACCAGTTGCTATTTTTCTTTTTAGAGTATATCCCGCCTAGGAGGTATAGCCAGAGTATTGTGCTCAAAAGTCACTTGAAATAATTTTTTTTTTTTGCATGGTTATGTTACTGATTTGAGTACATGAACAGTTAGATTTATTTGCTTTCAATTTTGGGGTTTGCTCCTTTATCTAAATATATGTTTTGTGTGAAAAGATTTACATGGTTCAAAAGTCTACATATATATGACAGTATGCATAGAAATTCTCACTTTATTTTTATATCTCTCACTATATTTCTCTCAACTTCAGCCACTGTAGATAACAATTTTAGTTTCTGTTTTATCCTTTCAGTATTTTCTTATGTAAAAATAAGCAAACAACTCTTCATAGGGTACCAATTCTTCTGCACTTTGAGGTTGCACATACATTTATGAATGGCAGGGTTCTAGATCTGGAAGTCTAAGAACCACAGGGCGGTAGTCAAGAGTCACCAGGTATATGTGTGAAATGAGAGGTAAAGCATGTTCAGCAGGCAAGAATCTGAAAGGATGTGGCTCCAGGTGACATAATTCCAAGGGCGGCCACTGCTACAGGCACTAGCTATTGCTAGTGTCACTGGGGTCAAGAGGCAAGTCACAAAATTCAATCCACTACCAATCTCAAAAATCTTCAGTATAAACAACATAAGCCCTTTTTCTGTTCATGTTGCTGCTTCAATAACATCTACAGTTCTTGCTCACGTGGTGTTCATAGTTTAGT